>NC_000009.12:30464545-30616060 GCF_000001405.40 Homo sapiens
AGGTTCATTCAATTTAT
Source organism: Homo sapiens (assembly GCF_000001405.40). Taxonomy (NCBI): domain Eukaryota; kingdom Metazoa; phylum Chordata; class Mammalia; order Primates; family Hominidae; genus Homo; species Homo sapiens. Next base: position 30,464,563 of record NC_000009.12, read on the forward strand.
AGGTAAAAGGAGAACTAAGAACACATCTAAAGAAAATGCTACACTATTATTTGGGAAGTATAGAAGGTATAATAATGGATTTTGTGTTCATGGATAAGTATACACATTAAATTGGCACTCAGAATAATAATATATATTTATATAACTTAATACTTCAGATAAACTTGAATATACTGTTTATTTTGCTTGAAAAACAAAATATCTTAATAAGCTTTTACTGTATGTTTTGATCAAAAAAGGATAAATTATACAGATCTTCCCTCAAACAATTATCTTACAGAAACATCTGCCATCCAACATCTAATAAGAAAAGAGACACAGAAAGTAGAATACACAGAATTAAGAAAAATATTAGTAGAGAAACTGAGCTGATTTTGTAAATGCATAGAATAAGATCATTGGTGTTTTGCAGTGAAAAGAGTGAAACTTACCCCAGCATCAAAGTGTATGTTATAAAGATTCCAGATCTGGGCCACCGAGGTGTATTTCATTTCAACAGTAATTTTAGTGCTTCAGAACTGGCTGCTCAGGCTGTGTGGTTGCTTATCTACAACCATCACAACACTGGGAAGGATATTAGTCTCTACCCTTTTTCTTTTGTTCTTCTAATATCACTAATACCCTTTCACATACTAAAACAGAAACACTGAGACTTAATTACTCTGCCCAAAATAATACACCTTTTCCTCTTTTCCTACATGAAAAATACGAATCAAACTGTCACTCAGCATTATTGTAGTTTTAGATATGTGATGTCTTTAGAGTTTTTTACTTTGGAATCCAGCTCACTATCACAAGCCATGAAAAACTATTTTTAACACAGAAGGTGTAGTTTATTGTACTCTAAAATTTATTAATGTCTTTAAAAAGTCATTATTTTTCCCAATGTATACGGGGAATTCTTAAAACATAAATTTCTTGTTATATAAACTTTTAAAAATTTCAGTTTGAAAAAATACCCAATTATTTTGATATGAACAGGAGGCAGGGAAGGAATGGGTAGAGGAGGGAGGGGGTACTGGTGAGGGCTCCATCCTCAAGCCTGGACTCATGGTCCTAAATGAGAGCTTCACATCCCTGTTTTCCTGCCCAAATGTGCCTTTTCAAAACCACCCTGGCCCATCCCACCCCCTACCATGTACCACTTAAAAACCACAAGTTCCACAGGCAGCGGAGCAGGACGGAGCAGCAGAGAAGGAAAGAAGAAGTGGCCGGATGTTGGAGAAAAGCAGCTTGACTTCAGAGGAACGACTTGATGGTGGGATTTGGAGAAGAGTTCGGCCGGGGACAGCAGAACTCCACGGGAAAATTATCTTCCCGCTATATCCCTCTTCCAGCTGCATCCCTCTTCCAGCTGCCCTCCCGCTGAGAATCGGTTCCGCCACTCAACAAAATCCTCCTCATACACCAACCTCCAGTTCATTCCTGTGACCTGATTCTTCCTGGATGCCGGACAATAACTCAAGTACCAAGAGGGCAGGGTGTAAAAGGCTGTCACCCTTACCCTCCATTGAGCTGGTTAACACCTGTCCACGAAGGCAAATGTTAAAAGAACACTGATTTTAACGCATGCCCTCTGAGGCTCTTGGGGGCGCACATACTTCCTCCCAGATGACAAAGCTAAAAGAGCTTTGTAAGATGCTTGGATGCTGCTGCAGGGCCAGCACAGAGCCTGCTCCTGCCAGAGAGGAGCAATGGGCAGGTTCCAGCATTTGCTTGCCCCAGCTCCGGCACCCATTCACCTGCATACTCTCCCTTCCGTGAGAGGTTCAGAGCTGTAGGCTGAGTAAGTGAGCCACTCCTTCAGGAGTCCTGTGAAGGGGTCAAGGGAAGTATCCTCTCTCGATATGAATCAATAATCAAAGAAAAATTACAAGCTTAGAGATCTTCACAGTCATGCATGAAACTTCTCTTTTATAAGGCAACTTACCTAAGGTAGTTAGTTGGAACTCAGATCTCACACGCCTTTTCTACCATTGTAATTCAAGCTGAAAATGATTTTCTTTCTTACTTGTCAGGAAAAGCAAACAGATAACAAACCAAAATAATGCTTTTTGTTGATTACTTGGAATCAGATACTAGCTTATTTGTGGTTTCCCTGAACCACAAAAAAGAGGAATGCTGGGCCCACCTGTATCATGAGGAGCTTGCTCAGCAGAACTAAGGGTCCCTAGGTGATAAAAGGTGAAGCCAGGAACCCCATCTGGGCTGGAAGCTCCCAGCAGGCAAGTTGGTGAGGGCAAGACCAGGCCCGGTTGAAGGGCAGCTTTACCAGAAGGCAGAGAGATTAAAGAGATTCAAGGGAGCAACTATGATGGCTGTAACAGAAACAAGTGGCAGAAAACTTGGTGGAGAAATTTGAAGTGAAGGAGAACAGGCTTCTAGTTGTATACCTTTTAGAACTCCAGCAAGATTTCCAGCTTGCTGCTAAGTTTTGAAAGACATACCTGGATTACAGGATTTCAGGATTCTCCTCAGCAAATGCATCTAACCATACAGGAACAGTTATTTGAATTTGAGTATTTGACCAAATACTTTTGAGATGGAGACTATGAGGCATAGATTTATGAGTAATTAAACATCATAGCAAGAGAAATGGAGATAATAAAATAAAAGGTTGCTCACAACAAAACATTATAAGCATTTAAGTCTATCTGAAACAATTGATGCATATAAAAACCCGCATTGAAGATCTCCAAAACCAGCTACAGAAATACAGTTTGGGGCCTAGGGAGAAGGAACCAGGAGAAATTTGGGCAGCACAAATCTGCACAACTTCTCATGTCTGACAAGGCATCATGACCTATGGTGAAACAAACAAACAAAAACAAAACAAAACAAAATAAAACAAAAGAAAACCACATACTACTGGGCAATTCACTCTGCTGTTTACATATTTCTCTATGTAGCAGATGAAATAACATCTATGGAAATGAGGTACCTCAAACATTGCCATGTGATTTTTGAGGATTAAATAGAAGATTTGGAAGAAAGTCATTTTCAGAAAAAGCCAAAAAAAAAAAAAAAAGTGTGTTAAGATTGGTTGGATCAATGAGATGGCTGAGTTCCAGAGATCTGCTTCACTTTCTGAGACCAACGAGAATGTAATAAAGAAAGAAATGCATGAGAACCAATGACAACAGCAATGGACTAAAAATTGGGTAATGTCTACATGGCATCAAATATGGGGCCAAAGAAAAGGATTCTGGTAGATTCTACTCGTGATGTATTTTGTGTATATTTAATATGCTAAAGCTGACTTTTGTATCTAGTGAATATTACTGTGAATTGTACTCACTAGGCTTGCTAAATTAAAGTAAACAGACCACCAAAATGACCTAATGATATCACAAGGTAAAATACACTGAGGCAAGTCACCATCATGATAGCGTTTCCAAGAGATTCTAGGAAGCAGGCAAGTTAAGAACATAAAGGAACACCACAGAAATCTAAGGACTTGAACAATGCTGTGTCTTAAAGTTGTCTTGAAAACGTCTGAAACATTAAGAGCATCTGAGATTATTAAATTAAAATTATACAAAGAGAAAAACATACAGGATTATTTTAGCAGTATATAAGCACCCTAAAAGAAAAACCCAAATTTTTGTCAAGTGACTACAGATGATCAATAAAAAGTTCACTTTGAGTAACTAGCAGGATGTGTATAAGCTGAAACATTAATCATAATAGCTTATACTACACAAATAATCAATGGTTACTCACTGTGTTCAAGTATTGTGTTATTCACGTTAAATCTCATTAATTTTTACTACAACCACTAAAGAAAAAAGGGAACAAAATAGTGATATCATAAACGTGTTATATGTCCTGGAAGTACAAAGGTAGCAATTCAAATGCCTTCAGAGGCCCTGAATTTGTGAAGGTAGAAGCCAATGGCTAACTAAAGACATATCTTCAAATTCATGTGTTTCAACACATTCTGAGTCCATAAAAACACTTGTAAGATCCAGCCAGTTTTGACTATTTACAAACTATGCATCTGACAAATTTCTAATATCCAGGATCTGCAAGAAACTTAAACGAATTTACAAGGAAACAACAAACAGCCCCATTAAAAAGTGAGCAAAGGACATGAACAGACACTTTTCCAAAAGAAGACATACATGTAGCCAAAAAGCATATCAAAAAAGCTCAACAACACTGATCACTAGACTAATGCAAATCAAAGACAATGAGATACCATGTCACACAAGTCAGTATGGCTATTACTTAAATTTCAAAAAATTACAGACACTGATGAGGTCAAGGAGAAAGAGGAATGCATGTACACAGTTAGAGTGTAAATTGGGGCACCTATTGTGGAAAACAGTGTGGCTATTCCTCAAAAAGCTAAAAACAGAACTATCATTTGACCCAGTAATTTCATTAATGGGTATATAAGCAAAAGAATATAAATTGTCCTGTCATAAAGACACATGCAGGCATATGTTCCTTGCAGCACCATTTACAATAGAAAAGACAAGGAGTCAACATAAATCCCCATCAATTGTAGACAGGATAAAGAAAATGTGGGACATATACACTATGGAATCCTACGCAGCTATAAAAAAGAACCAGATTATGTCCTTTGCAGGAAAATGGATGGTGCTGGAGGACATTATTCTTAGCAAACTAATGCAAGAACAGAAAATCAAATTCTGCATGTTGTCACCTGTAAGTGGGAGCCAAATGAGAAGAACACATGGACACATGGAGGGGAACAACAGACACTAGGGCCTATTGGAGGGTGGAAGGGTGGCAAGAGGAAGAGAATCAGGAAAAATAACTAATAGGTACTAGGGTTAATACCTGGGTGATGAAATAATCTGTACAACAAACCCCCATGACACCAGTTTACCTTTATAACAAAACTGCACATGTACCCTTAAACTTAAAAGTTACAAAAGCACCATATCTAATAGTATTTATAATGACATTAAAAAATAATTAACATTTTTTATTTCCTGCAATGAGCCAAGCTGTAAGTTAGGTGCTTTATAGGAGCAATTACTTTTAATCATCACAATAACTCTATGAGGTAGATAATTTATAATTATCATTATACTAATTGAGAAATTTTGCTAAGTGTTAAGAGAAGTTCAAGGTTTTGTAGCTGATAAATGGCAAACTCAGATCTGTTTGAAATCAGCACCTACATCCTTCAATCACAAATAATACTTTCTCAAAATATGAATTTCCTTATCCATAGAATGTGGGAAGAATAATAATAAACTGACTAAAAATGCAACCAACTAAAAATGTACTCAGAAGAGTCAGTTATGGTTGTCATAAAGGTATGAGGCCGAATTGGTAAAACAGTAGAAGTTTGCCCTCAGTCTGTCATGAATGTCCACCAGTTCATTGTGATGACTAGATTCTTCTGCTGATCATACTTAACATTTCTTGGAGCAGCTGGGAATCAACTTTATGGAGAAATATAAATTTAGATCATTAGGTGGTAGAAGGGGAACTGTTGTTACTTACTGAAAAACAGTTCTCACAAGTTATATTTTTAAGTCTTCCCTTTTGACAGGTATGTTATTTTTGTGAGAAAAGGTTTTTTTCCTCTCTGAAAAACTGTCATGTGTCTCTACACATTTGAAGAATTGTCATATATTATCCTATTCCTTTGTATAGATTGTATGTAGAGGAGGCATGTGCCATGTAAATGAAAGAAACTATATAAAAAGCGTTGTTCCTTATAATGTTACACTACATCACTATGCTGCCATGAACTTTAACAAATAGTCTTATCCAAAAGAAAGGCAGAACATCTTCCTTCTATGTTTTATTTGTATTAAAACATACATTTATGAGGAAGCCAAAAAAATAAAAATGAAGTTTCCCTTATTTATTCCATGGCCAGTATATTTTATTTTTCGAAAAGTTGGCTATGCTTTTTATGTTGCAATTCCAACAAAATACAGTTTGATCCAGGTCAGATGAAGCTTGAGTCTAGAAAATGCCAATAGGTAATAGATGTTAAGAAAAAAACCACCTATTTTCCTATTTTGTTAGATTAAAGAATATTTATACTCAAATTCACTCATAAATTATGAGTTTTTGAAGTCAGTATATGTACTCTATGCATGTAATCTGTTTTTACTTCAAATGAAAGAGTCCACAATCATAATCCTAGCTCCAACAGGCTTCCCTTTTTTGCATTTACTTTCTTTGATTTGAAGCCAACACAATGCCCTATAAATTCTATGCTCAATGAAATTTCCTAAACTCACATATTTAAATATTTTGCCTCTAATAGTAATATATTAATGTTAAAAATCAATATTATGTCTCTTACAATCCCAGTAATTTTGGTCCTGAATTTCCTTTGGAAGTTCTTAAATGGCGTTAATATCAGCATACAACTAATTTTTTTTTTTTTTTTTTTTTGAGATGGAGTCTCACTCTTTTTGCCCAGGCTGGAGTGCACTGGCACGATCTTGGCTAACCGTAACCTCCGTCTCCTGGGTTCAAGTGATTCTCCTGCCTCAGCCTCCCGAGTAGCTGGGATTACAGGTGCCCGCCACCACACCCAACTAATTTTTTTGTATTTTTAGTAGAGACAGGGTTTCACCATGTTTGGCATCGCTGGTCTCGAACTCCTGACCTCAGGTGATCCACCGGCCTCGGCCTCTCAAAGTGCTGGGATTACAGGCGTGAGCCACCGCGCCCGGCCCGCATATGACTAATTTTTTTTAACCACTCACCAACTCCAAACCTTGACTCTTATAGTTCTCTTAATTGAATTGCCATTCCCCAGTTCTTCCAGGCCATTAATATGTTATTGCCAGTGATCTGTCCATATCTTTTTCTCCTGGTAGCTAACTATCCAATAAAGCTTGCTCACAGTCTTACATCAAAAGAACACTTGGAGTCATTTCATTCTTTTTATTTCCACTGTCACAACCAACATTCATGCTACTTTCATCTCTCACTTTACATAGCTTCCTAAATTCACTGTCCTTTTATACAAATATACGCATACATATCTATCTATCCAGAATAATTAAAATTGAAAGGTAACTCTATTAGGACCTTAAATATGTCATTTAATAGCTGTAACTTTGAAATATTACTTAAACACCCAAACCTAATTTTTCTCAACTAGTAAAAGGCAATAATAATGCCTAAAACAAAAATCTGTTATGAGTCTTAAATGAAATATTATTATAAACACGGTTGTCATATGGAAATTTGGTCATAATTGTATCTACGATTTCTTTTCTCTTTCATTTTAGTCTCTCTTGTCTTCAGACAATCATTCGTTTAGTCATTTGTGTATTAATTCATCCATCCAACAAATAATAATGTACTTTTTACTCTCTGGAAGGCATTTATGTAGGTCTTTTACAAGTACTGGTGTATTTTACACGAACTTAAAGTTACACTTTTTTTTTTTTTTTTTTTTTTTGAGACAGAGTCTCACTCTGTCGCCCAGGCTGGATTGCAGGGGCACGATCTCAGCTCACTACAAGCTCTGCCTCCTGGGTTCACGCCATTCTCCTGCCTCAGCCTCCGGAGGAGCTGGGTCTACAAGCGCCCGCCACCACGCCCGGCTAATTTTTTTTTTTTTTGTATTTTTCATAGAGATGGGGTTTCACTGTGTTAGCCAGAATGGTCTTGATCTCCTGACCTTGTGATCCACCCGCCTTGGCCTCCTAAAGCGCTGGGATTATAGGAGTGAGCCACCACGCTCAGCCTAAAGTTACACTATCAAGTCTCTATTTCTCACAACAAAGTGGAGGCAGGTGAACTTCAAATCCACATGCATATCATTACTCTTCCTATCTCTCTGATTTGGTCCCTGGCCTTAAGGAGTTTACATCATACTAAGGCAACAACTATATCTGGAATTACATAGCTTTAAAAACACTAGTACAGCAATAATCACGATATTTAAGCATATACAGTGTATCTAAGTAAGAATAAAATTTAGGAAAAGAGAAAATGACAGGTAATGGAGGTCACACTGGAGGGGATATTTTATAATAAGTATAAATCAGTGAAATAAGTAAGGAATAGATGAAAGAGGAGAGATGAAAGCATATGAAAGATTGTAGATACAGGAAACAGTACGGAACATTCAAGCCCTTCCATATTTCTGAGAGAATGAGGCTCTAACTATCAAGGGAAGCTTTTGCTGTTGAGAGGTTATTTGAACCCTAGTCATGAAGATGTGTATGGAATATTTCAGGGGTGTATTTGCGTGTGTATGTATGTGTGTGTGTGTGTCAGAGAGAGAATTACGTTTTTCCCTGAGATAAATATATGTTATGTATGAATATGTACAAGCATTTTTTAGAAAGAAATTTCTCTTGGGTCTCAATTTGTGCTTCTGGGAAACAGACTCAGACTGAGTCATTTGCCTTTTGCCTGAAGAAAGTTTGCTTAGAATGCTCTTGGTAACAACACCTATAAGAGAGTAAGAAAGCACAATTGGACAAAGGATGAAGATTATCTGAAAATGCAATTGTAGAAAATGCATCAACCAATCCATAGGGAATTCTGGATCTGGGATGATCTTTTAGAATTGTCTGCAGTTGAAAGGAAGAGGTCTTTGTACAACTGTGAGTTGACTAGTTGTTGGGTGTGGCCTGTCCCAGGGGAAGGAGGAGAGGACTTAACTTTCAGTGAGGCTATAAAAAGCAGTTCCAGGGGAAAGACTCAGCTGTGAGTCTTTCAAATAAAAAACAAAAAACATTTTTGACAGCTGGGAGAAGAAGTGCCTCAGTCTTTTACCTGGGTTCTGCATAGAAAATTACAGCATCTCTGACATTTCATCCATTTCTTTTATAGGATCCATTTGCTGCATGCAATAAAATAATCTGTTAGGGAATAGCTCTTTTCCAGGTTTCAATTTGGTCTGTTTTTCTGGGTAAACATAGAAAAGGAAGGATGGGAAGACAAATTACAGCTCCTAGCACTGTGCCTGATCTTGGTCTCTCAACTGATACCAATCATTTTTCTACATAATTCTAGATCTTCTTCATTCTAAATTCCCTTCACCCTAGGTTAGCACCTATGTTAGATTAGATGAAACTGGATGGCTTAACTGGTTGCGTGACTCAGATCCAGACACACACTCTTGGAACTGTCATCTTGTCCTTCTACATTTGTGACTGCTGACCTTATACATTTAATGTTCAAACTGAGTAGGTGAGTAACAAGAACGACCCTAGTGGATCACTATGAAACCAAACATTATTCCTTTAATCCCACCTCTCCCTAGTCATCAGGTCAGTTACTATATCCAGGAGATGGTGACTCCTTTATTTGAGTGTTTTTCTCTTGTTGTAACAAGGAATCTGAAAATATGAGGAGGCAGCCATGATTAAAATTAAATGGAACCCTTCATAGTCCCCTAATGAAAGCATTCTTTCTCTGAAACCAAGACCTGGAGTTAGTAGTGCCTAGATTTGCATGGATGGGAAGCACAATTCAATATGTTTTAATGGCAGTGATGGTAAATTATGCAACATTGTTTTTTATTTTATTTTATATTATTTTTATTTTACTGGCTCCTGGACCTATGTGTTTAACCTACTAAGGTAAAAGTAGCACGTAGTATTATTGCTTTAAAGTATATGTTAACTCCTAGAAGATAATGCCCAATTCCTACAGGGTATTTATCTCACAAGCTGACACCTTAATTGCATCTTCAAAGAGCTATTCTGTATCTTTATTAGACTATTAGCTTCTGAGTAATATGCTATATGCTAGGAACAGTGGATCTTATGGTTATTCAATTATTCTGCACCTCTTTTATAAATATTTTTCTCCTTATCCAATACAATATTATGTGTAATACCATGTCAGTGGAGCAAACACTCTGAAGTCCTTAAATAGTGGTGCAGGCTAGATTATGACCTTATTTTTTTATTTATAAGATTGAAATATATCATAATTTAGGACCAAATAGCCTACACAAAATGTTGGCTCTCTAAATTGCATATGGAAAGCTATGCTTTTCAACCAAAGGTACTAAAGTATTATTGCAGATCCCCGTTGTATTGCATATTTATATAATTAATGTGTTTTGGTTTTAAATAACTTAAAAAATGTGTCGAAATTTCTTTTGAATAAAAATAATTATGAAAGCAACAAGCATTATCTACATTACAAATATCTGGGGAAAGTTAGTAAAAGTAATGAGTCTATTAGGAAGGGAAAATAATGAAGCAGGATAAAAGAAATGACATTTTTCCCTTTCTCTTCCGCACTTATTAAAATAACCCAAAATTTCACTCACTCACCATAAGGAGGATACCAAAATTAAATATTTATCCAAGTCATTCATGTTAATGCCTTTTATTTTTACATGTAAGCAATAGGTCAATTTAAGGGAGGATGTGAGATTTCAGTTGGGTCTTCTGGAATACATAGAAAAAGTAAAGGATAGGGGAGGTAGATGACTTAGAAGGAGCTGGAAATAGATTGGAAAACTAGATTAGGACCACATTTTCAAGTTGAATGTCAGGCTATGGAGAGTAACTTTTATCTTGTTTTAAAGTAAATAGACAGACATAAGGTCTCTCACTAGGGAACCTGAATGCTGCTACAGAAACATAAATCAGAAGCAGCACAGGGAGCAGAGCCTGGGAAACAATTCACATGCATGCAGCAAATTCTTTGCTAGGTCACAAAGCTTATAAAACAGGTCTCATATCCCTTAGAAACCTATCATCTAACAGCATATCTATGACTTTCATCACGACGCATCCTTTGTATAATACATACCTTGGACTCTGCCTCACATCTTTTTCCACCTTTTACTCCAACCACAGTAATTTATAGATGCAACATGAAAGCACCTTACCCATCATTATATCTGAATTTTTCTAGAGCTTTTCTGATTCAAAGGCTTAGGATACATGGAACAATCCACTTGCGCTTAGAAAAGCGCAACCTGGAGATGCAAGGCAATTAGCTCTGCTAAGGGGTAACTATTGCCTTTGAATCCAAGTTGTACTATTTCATTATCTGGGCAGAAAATTGTAAGCTGCATCCAAAATTGCTTCTTGTAATGTTATGAAATAATCAAGACTTATTCTCCATAATTGTGAAGAACAATTGTTTTCCTTCTTGTATTGCTTTGACCTCAATCCCCTGTTCCTGTGTCCAAGGATCACTTCTAAAGACTAACTGAATGTCTCCACTTATCTAACGCTGAGCTTTAACGGAAGTCATAGGTGAGGCATCAAAGCTAAAAAAATGCTTAAGTATGAAATTCATAAATTATTTAGAATGTATCCTAGGCATATACTTATATTACATAAAGATAACCAAAATAATATGTGATCAATCAAGTAATAAATTACATCTAATATGGTATGACATTTTTGTATTTTCAGTGTAATTGCTACATACATTATCTCAGATGATGCAGAAAAATTTCTCTTTTCTTATTAAATTATCACACGTTTTAAATCTTTAATCACAAGAGCATTTTTCAGAATTTTTGGAAATTACTATTATTAAGAACAATAAAATAAAAGCTGTGTACTGTCAATGTATTATTACTCAGTTATTTTATAGAAAAAAAGTAAAAACACTTACTGTAAAGTTTTGAAGGGAAAGTTCTGAAATTACAGTGGGACAATATTTAAATAGAAGACAAAAACTAGTTACTGTAAAAGAAATTCAACAAAGTTCTCATAAACCACAGTGATATGCACAGTACATATCCTTTGTCAAATAGTTTCTGTGGTGCATTTTTACAACTTTTCTATTTTTTAAAATTTATCCTTTAGTATCCAAGACACAATGTTAAATATATCTCTAAACAACATAATCTTAAAAGAACATTTATGAGAAACCCATTAAGTAAATGTAGAAAAGTAGATTTAAAGAAAAGTAGTAAAGTGCTTGGGATTCAGTAAGAATGCTCTTTCTTACTTTATAATCAGCAGACATTTACTTCATTTACTTTAGGACAAACTCTAGGGCTTCTGCCTCTGCTGTGTATGGAAAAACTGCTTATATTTATTTTAAAGCCTTGTTTTCTTTAGGCCTATATAAAAATTTTAGATGCCTACAGAAAACTATTTAGATAGTTAAAAAACTCTACTATTATTGCTATTATTGTTTTTGGTTTTAGAGGATTTTAAGGCCTGTATTTTATATTTGTGCAGAATATTTCAACCTTCTGATGATTTCAAAATTAATTATAAGTAAATAATATCAATTTCACTTACAGATAAAACAATTTATGATTAAGACTGGTTATGTGGAAAGCCAGGTTTAGAAACAAGAGCTTTAGTTTTTTAAGTTTTCTTAGGGCTACAAAATAAAAAGACACATGGAAAAGCAGTTCTCTGGAGAGAAAATCAATACCAACTAGCTATCATCTAGGCCAAGGTTTCCCCAAACCGCAGACCATGGACTAGTACCTTGGTCTGTTAGGAACCAGGCCACAGAACAGCAAGTGAGCAGGAAGCAAAGCTTCATCTGTATTTACAGCTGCTTCCCATCACTAGCATTACTGCCTGAGCTCCATCTTCTGTCAGATCAGCAGAGGCATTAGATTCTCACAGCGGCATGAACCGCACATGTGAGAGATACAGGTTCCTTGCTCCTTATGAGAATCTAATGCCTGTCACTGTTTCCCATCACACCCAGATACAAGAAAATAACCTCCAGGCTCCCACCGATTCTACATTATGGTGACTTGCATAATTATTTCATTATATGTTACAATGTAATGATAATAGTAATAAAGTGCACAATAAATGTAAGGCACTTGAATCATCCTGAAACCAGTTCCCCAACCCCTGCTCCATGGACAAATTGTCTTTTCTTTTCTTTTTTTTTTTTTTTTTTTGAGAGGGAGCCTCGCTCTGTCGCCCAGGCTGGAGTGCAGTGGTGGGATCTCGGCTTACTGCAAGCTCTGCCTCCTGGGTTCAGGCCATTCTCCTGCTGCAGCCTCCCGGGTAGCTGGGTATACAGGCGCCCGCCACCACGCCCGGCTAATTTTTTTTTTGTATTTTTAGTAGAGACGGGGTTTCACCATCTTAGCCAGGATGGTCTCGATCTCCTGACCTCGTGATCTACCCGCCTTGGCCTCCCAAAGTGCTGGGATTACAGGCATGAGCCACGGCGCCCGGCCCTTATTTTCTTTTTTATAGCAATACATTGTAATCCCTCCAAAAAATGACTTCAGGCTCCAGAGAAATAACAGATATCATGGCCTCAAAATTATGCCAGGTTTGAATAATCAGTACCAAGATAAATTTTCACAACTATATGTGATGCAGAAGCTAGGATGATCACTGGAATGGACTAATTTAATATCCATATTTGAAATATAACCTACTGAGAGAAACAAACAGCAACCTCTTTAAGAGGTTACTGCTTCTAAAATTTGAAATGTCTAGTCATGTTAATCACATACAGAACTAGCATAAAGGCAGAAAAGAGTATCTCCACTTATTTTTTAGTTAAAATGAATATTTTTTATTCCATCATATACATATTATGATTTTACTTATAAATAATTTCTAAAAATTTTACTCCCAAAGTGACTACTATCAGGCATAAAAAATTTAAATTACAGTACCTGTTTTTGGGTCCAGGCCCTGGTGATTATTACTTAAGTTAATGGCCAAATTACTCGGCTTTCCCCAGTCTTACATTCTCCTCATGTGGAGATAATTAGACTAACCTACTTTGCCTACAGAATTATTTTATAATTTATGTGAGAAAACTAATTTTAAAATATGATTTCAAAATAATAAGCAATTTTCAAATAGTATATTATTTTCATTTTTAATATGAACCACACTAATGTTGTTTAACTGAAGATGGTCCTTTGCTCCAGAATACATGTTATACCTTAGGAATATCGAGTTTCCTCACTGAAATAAGAAAATCTTCATGTATTTATAAGAAATAAGAAAATTTCTTCATGCAGATGTCCAGTTACATCTATCACTTATTTCTTGATATAAATTTAAAAAATATTAATTATGATGTTATTCTTTCATAAAATATTTATTTTACCTCTTTAAGTTATGTTTTAATAGTTGCTTTTATAGTAAGTCTTGATTCAGAATTATTAAAAATCAATAACATTGATTTCAACAAGTTCTATATTAATTTTTCAATCTTGACCAGTCAGTTACTGGGGACTGAGAAATACCAAGCTAAAATAAAAGTTTCTCTTATATGACCACAAGCTGTAGACATCTAAGTCTTCCTGAATGTAAGAAATATAAAAAGTTCAGAATAAAATGAAATACATGTAACTGTGAGGATGTGGCTCTGTGTTAGATAGTTTTCTATCATAGGATCTTTGCAACCACCTGAGTGAGTTTTGATAAGTCACGTGATCTAACTGTATGTTTTCCTACCATATTTCCAAATCTGGGTCTTTCAGTCTGGAAAAGTTTGCTTTCTATCAAGATAGTTGTATTTATTTTATTTTACTTTTTGATAGTTTTTCAACACAAATAAAAGATTTGGTTTCCAAAACTAAACATACCATATGGTTGTTACATTTTTTATGACATAAATTTCAGGAAAAAAATAAGTTAAAGATGAATGAATGCCCTAGCCCTAACCCTAACCCTACAAAAGAAAAAACCTTGCATTTATTTATTATTTTAAATGTTTGCTGAATGTAATGTCATATGATATTAGAAAATGGGTACTTAATTTATAGGAAGAATAATCCTTCCTTTAACAGTAATAGTTTCCTGTGTCATACATAAAAATGAGTGCAAATTATCTAACTGGAGCCGGGAGCAGTGGCTCACGCTTGTAATGCCAGCACTTTGGGAGTCCGAGACAGGCAGATCACTTGAGGTCAAGAGTTTGAGACCAGCCTGGCCAAAATAGCAAAACCCCATCTCTACTAAAAAATACAAAAATTAGCCAGGTGTGGTGGTGCACACTTTTAATCCCAGCTACTCTGAGGGCTGAGGCAGGAGAAGTGCTTGAACCCAGAGGGCGGAGGTTGCAGTGAGCTGAAATCGTGCCACTGCGTTCCAGCCTAGGAGACAGAGCAAGACTCCGTCTCAAAAAAAAAAAAAAACAAGAAAACCAAACTAACTGAAAATTATAATGTGAAGAAATATCTAAAACACTATTTCCAGCAGTTCAATTAAAAAATTTTGACGTACATTTCTTATTCCTGATAAAGTGTTGGTTTGAACATCACATATAAGATTGATTAAAACTACAGTTATAACGTCTTAAAAGAAAAGAAAGGTATAAATTTTTTTGAACTGGGGGAGCTGGGAAAAGAGGATGCTGCAGAAGTATTCTTTTGAAAACTGGAAGGTGAAATAGATCAATAACATCAATAACTAACCTAGCACACCCAATTAAGCACACCCCTAAGCAGCTCAGGGGCAAAGGAGACCCAAGCCTATTTTCATGAAAGAATTCCTCAAAACCTCAGTGTTCCAGAAATAAGAATAGAAAGAAAAAAAAACAGAAAATTACCAACAAAATAATTCTAGATAACTTTCCAAAATTGAAAGTAGAACGAATGTTACCAGATGAAAAAATCTTCCTTGCGCCCAATTCATTGATTAAAGAGAACCTTTTGGTTATCATTTTAAAATACTAGGAACAGAAAAAGAGAATATCAGTGAGATGTTTGTACAACTGACTGAGGGAGGAGAGTGGTAAAGAGTGTGAGGTGGTGAATGATTTTAACATTATTATTTTTTTTTTTTGAGGTGGAGTCTCTCTCTCTGTCGCCCAGATTAGAGTGCAGTGGCACAATCTCGGCTCACTGCAATCTCCGCCTCCCAGGTTCAAGCCATTCTTCTGCCTCAGCCTCCCAAGTAGCTGGGACTACAGGCACCTGCCACCACGTCCAGCTAATTTTTGTATTTTTAGTAGAGACAGGGTTTCACCATATTGGCCCGGCTGATCTCGAACTCCCGACCTTGTGATCTGCCCACCTCGGCCTCCCAAAGTGCTGGGATTAAAGTGTGAGCCACTGTGCCCATCCTTAACACTAAAATCCTTAGTAACAATGAATTAGAAGACAGCAGTCATTGGACTAATGCCTTAGAAGTTATCATGAAATATGTTTTCTAACCTAGAACTCTATACCCAGACAAACATCCAATCAATTGTCAGAGTAGATTAAAGAAGTTATCAAACATTTGAGTTCTGAAGAATTAACTGCTCTTATATAGCCTCTCTCTTAAGAAGCTGCTCAAATAGAGTCTCCATCACAATGAGAAAGTCAAACAAGATCAAAAAATACATGAGATCTTGATTTTAATTATTTTGGACAAATACTCATATATAGGATTGCTGTATCATCTGGAGGTTGTTTTTTTTTTTTTTGAATCTCTATGTGGTTTTCCATAATGGAAATATACCAGGCATATTTTTATATTCCCATCAGCGTACAAGAGTTTCTACTTCTCCACATCCTGGCCAAACACATATTTTTGTTTGTTTTTGTTATATACGTATATAATAGCCATCCTTAAAGGCATGAGGTCATATATAACTTTGGTTTTGATTTGCATTTTCTTGATAATTAGTGATGTTGAACACCTTTTCATATACTTTTTGGCAATTAGTGTATTTTGGGGTTTGTTTGTTTAATTTTTATCTTTTATTATAAGCTGAGGGGTGCATATGCAGTTTTGTTATATAGGTAAACTTGTGTCATGAGGGCTTGTTGTACAGATTATTTCATCACCCAAGTATTAAGTACAGTAACCATTGATGATTTTTCCTGATTCTCTCTCTCCTCCCAGCCTCCACTCTCAATTAGGTCCCAGTGTCTACAGTTCCCCTCTATGTGTCCATGTGTTCTCATGATGTAGCTCCCACTTATAAGTAAGAACATGCAGTGTTTACTTTTCTGTTTCTGCATTAGTTTACTAAGTAGAATGGCCTCCAGCTCCATCCATGTTCCTGCAAAGGATATAATCTCAATTTAACAACCTAAATCACAAGTAAAAGAACTAGAAAAGCAGTAGCCAAACCAATACCAAAGCTAGCAGAAGACAAGAAATAACCAAAATCAAAGCTTAACTGAAGGAGATTGAGACCCAAAAAAATCATCAAAACGATGAATGAATCCAGGAGTTTGTTCTTGAAAAAATTAATAAAATAAACTGCTAGCTAGACTCATAAAGAATAAAAGAAAGAAGATCCAAATGAACACAATTATAGATGACAAAGAGGACATTACTACTGACAACACAGAAATACAAACAACCATCAGAGAATAATTTAAACACCTCCGTGCACACAAAAAAGAAAATCCAGAAAAAATGGATGAATTCCTGGACAAATACACCCTCTTAAGACTCCATCAGGAAAAAAAATGAACCCCTAAGTGGACCAATAATGAGCTCTAAAATTGAATCACTAATAAATAGCCTACCAACCAAAAAAGGCCCCAGTCCAGACAGATTCACAGTCGAATTCTAGCAGATATACAAAGACAAGCTGGTACCATTCCTACCGAAACTATCCGAAAAAATTGAGAAGAGTTTCCTCCCTAACTTATCCTGTGAGACCAGCATCTTCCTGATACCAATATGTGGCAGAGAAACACACACACTCAAAGAGAGAAAACTTCAGGCCAATATCTTTGATGAACATCAATGCAAAAAATCTCAACAAAATACCAAGAAACCAAATCCAGCAGAACACGAAAAAGCTTATACAACACAATTGATTAGACTTTATGCCTGTGATGCAAGGTTGGTTCAACATACCCATATCAATAAATGTGACTCATCATATAAACAGAACTAAAGACAAGAACTATGATTATCTCAGTTAATGCAGAAAAGGCTTTTGATAAAATTTAACTCACCTTCATATTAAAAATTCTCAATAAATTAGATATTGAAATATACCTCAAAATAATAAGAGTCATATACTAAATGAGCAACAGCTGAAATCATTTCCCCTGATAACTGGCACAAGATGAACATGCTCTCTTTCAACAGTACTATTCAACATACTATTGGAACTCCTGGCCAGAGTAATTAAGTAAGAGAAAGAAGTAAATGGCATCTAAATAGCAAGAGAAGAAGTCAAAATATCCTTGTTTGCAGATATGATTCTATATTTAGAAAACCCAATAGTCTCAGCGCAAAAGCTTCTTTGTCGATAAACAACGTCAGTGCAATCTCAGGTTACAAAATCAACATACAAAAACCACTGGCATTCCTATACACAAACAACAGTCAAGCCAAAAGTCAAATCAGGAGCACATTTCCATTTACAAGTGCCACAAAAAAAGAATAAACTACCTAGGAATACAGTCAACCAGAGAGGTGAAAGATCTCTTGAGGGAGAACTACCAAACATTTCTCCAAGAAATAAGAGTTGACACGAACAAATAGAACAACATTCCATACTCATGGATAGGAAGAATCAACATAATTAAAATGGCAATCCTACCTAAACCGATTTATAGATTGAATGGTATTTCTATCAAACTACCAACAATATTCTTCACAAAACTAGAAAAAACGATTTTAGAATTCATATGGAACCAGTAAGAGCCCGTTTAGCTAAGGCAATCCTAAGCAAAAATAACAAAGCTGGAGGCATCATGCTACCTGACTTCATACTATGCTACAGGGCTACAGTAAGTAAAACATCATGTTACTGGTATATAAAAAGACACATACACCAGTGAAACAGAATAGAGAACCTAGGAATAAGGCCATAGACCTACAACCATGTGATCTTTGACAAATTTGACAAAACAAGCAATGTAGAATGTACTCCCTAGCCATATACAGAAGATTGAAACTGGACCCCTTTCTTATACCATATAACAAAAATCAACTCAAGATGGGTGAAATACTTAAATGTAAGCTTCAAAACTATGTAAACCCTGGAAGACAACCTAGGCAATACCATTCCGGAAATACAAATGGGCAAAAATTTTATGGTGAAAACACGAAAAGCAATTGCAGCAAAAGCAAACATTAATAAACGAAATCTAATTAAAGAATTTCTGCATAGCAAAAAAGAAAAAAAAACTAAACAGATGACTTAAAGAACGGGAAAAATATTTATAAACTATGCATTTGATAAAGATCTAATATCCAGCAGCTATAAGAAACTTAATCAAATTTACAAGAAAAAAACAAGTAACTTCATTAAAAAGTGGGCAAAGGACATGAACAGATCAGTGTTGTTGACCATTTCTTTCACATGTTTGTTGCTCACAAGTATGTCTTCTTTTGAAATAACAACAAATATTTGAAAAACATATTTCATAAAGGGTTAATTTCCAAAATAAATAAGGAACTTCCACAAGCCAATATTTAGAAAAAGAAATAATCTGCACAGCAAACCTCCTTTGTCTTTTTTTGCTTTTGTTTCATGTGCTTTGGGTGTCTTCTCCAAGAAATCATTGCCAAGACCAATGTCATGAAGTTTTTTCTCTATGTTTCCTTTTCCTAGACGTTTTCCAGTTTCAAGTCTCACATTTAGGTCTTGAATCCATTTTGTGTTGATTTTTGTGTATGTTGCAAGGTAGAAATCCAATTGGCATTTTGGCAAGTGGCTATTGAGTTTTGTTGGCCACAAGTATGTCTTCAAAAAGACATACTTGCAAGCAACAAACATACGAAAAAAAATGGTCAACACTGATCATTAGAGAAATGCAAATCAAAGCCACATTGACATACCATATCACACCAGTCAGAATGGGCTGCTATTAAAACGTCAAACAATAATAGATGCTGGCGAGCTTAGGGAGCAAAAGGAATGTTTATACACTGTTGGTGATAGTGTAGATTAGTTCAGCCATTGTGGAAAACAGTATAGCTATTTCTAAAAGAGCTAAAAACAGAACTACCATTTGATTCAGCAATCCCATTAGGGTATATACCCAAAGAAATAAAAGTCATTCTACCATAAAGACACATGCAGGCATATGTTTATTGCAGCCCTATTGACAATAGCAAAGACATGGAATCAACCTAAACGTTCATCAGTGGTGGACTGCATAAAAAAAAGTGGCACATATACACCATGAAATACTATGTAGCCATTTGTATATTGTCTTTGAAAAAACCATCTATTCAAGTTTTTTGCCTATTTTTTTTCTTAAAATTTATTTTAGTTTCAGGTTTACATGTGCAGGTTTATTATATAAACTTGTGTTATGGGAGTTTGTTGTAAAGATTGTTTCTTTTTCTAAATACTAATTTATAAAACTTCCTTATTTATTTTGGAAATTAACCCTTCATAAAGTACATGTTTTGCAAATATTTATTGCTATTCTGTAGGTTTCCTGATCACTCTGTTAATCATTTCCTTTGCTGTGCGGAAGCTTTTCAGTTTGGTGAATTCTCATTTGTCTATTTTCGCTTTTGTTTCCTGTGCTTTGGGTGACATCTCCAAGAAATCATTGCCAAGAGTAATGTCATGAAGTTTTTTTTTTTTTTCTAGGTGTTTTACAGTTTCAGTTCTCACATTTAGGTTTTAAATCCATTTTGTGTTGATTTTTGTGTATGCTGTAAGGTAGAAATCTAATAAACATTTTGGCAAGTGGCTATCCTGTTTTCTTGATGCCATTTCTTGAGTAGATTATACTTTCCCTACGGTGTATACTTGGCACTATTGTCAATTGTCAGTTAATTGTACATGCATACTTCACTTGGTATTATCTTTCAGGTTATTGGTAGTAAAATTTTTTAACAGAGAACTTGAAATCTAGAGTTTGAAGTCCTTATAATTTGTGAGGTTATATTTCTTCTTTATTTTATACAATGAAAAGTCTAATTTTAAAATATTTTATGCCAAAATAACTTAGTAATAATTTCCAAAATATATTTTATTGTCTCCCAGAACTACAGAAAATGTTTTGTAATAATCATTAAGATTTTATTTCTGATATACTTTATGACAGTCTTCACTTTGAAAAAGTCAATGAAGTAGAGAAAATAACACTTTCATAGATGTTTTATACTTGCATAAACATTTATCAATACTATTTTCTCTTTTGTCATAAGCAACACTTAGAACTAAAATTAAAGACATTGCTTAATATTAATTTTTCATTAAAATTTGGCCTGATTGATTAAAGCTGCCCTGCTACATTTTCTTCTTCCCACCACCATATTTAATGCCCTTTGCAATCTTTCCATTTGTTGATGTTCCTCTTTACTCTACCTTGTCTTCTTCCACCATCATTTGTTTTCTATTTTTATATAGATTTAAAATCGGTCCTTTGAATCTATTTTTATCATACACCTAAAGAAAAAAAACAGCCTTTTATTTCTTAAAAATTTCACTTTAAAAGTTTGATGGCATAGGATATATATTTGTAAGTGCAATTATTACGTACTTTGACCAGTATTGGGTGCCTGGAAGCTGAAGATATACTTAGAAACTGATAATATCATGTAGGTGGCCACTTACATAGCTCAAGATTGTAAAGGTCCTGGGAAATGTTCTGTTTCCATATTGTTTGTTAGATTCCACAAAGAGCCTCAAATGATGTAAGCATTTATAAATATTTCATAATTTTTTACATTTAATGTACTGCCTTCTCTTCATATTTTGAAGAATAGCTTCTCTTCCGACTTACTGAATGTTAATTATTTTTATTCTGATCTTCATGAACCTACTCTTTGGATAGAGAACTACTTAGTTTTTGATGAACTGACTTAACCTAACTACATACTTTTTAATCTCCAGTAATTATTCACATTATCATTAGTACTATTATTATTCTGTGTTTTTCACATTTCTGCAGGTTTTGTATTGTTTATTTCATAGTCAGTATTTTTCTTTTTCAGGTTGAGTTTTACTCATATAAGCTTACTTGTTAATATTAAATACTGCTAATTTTTTTAGAAAAAAACTTGTAGAATGTTCATTATAGAATATTATTTTTAATGACATAACTTTGTTTTTTTGTTTGTAATAAGGGATAAATTACTCACCAAAATTATGATACATAAAGGTAACATAATTATATTATCTAATTATATTTAATTTCATCTATCTATGTGTACTTTTTATGTATAAATCTTAATAGGGAAACACATGATTCTGACATTTTATTGTCATTTATGCATTGACAAATATAGAAATATATAGAGAATTCACATTTATAAAAATTAAAAAATTATTTTCTTCTAATATTAATCATTAGTGATATAGAAGAAGAGAATATGATGTGAGGAATTTAAGGTCATTTCTAGGATTCTGCTATATACAGCTAGACTTATATTATTTTCATTTACTGAAATAGGATTGCATGAAAAAGTTCAAGTATATGGGGAAATTTTATGAGTTCAGCTTCGAATACGTTCAATTTAAGAAGTCTGTGGTTCATAAATATATCCATTAAGCAACTGGATTTCAGGGTACTGCTCATGAGAGAGAGATAATGGATTGGGAAGAAGATATAAAGTTATAAACAGGTAAGTGCATTAAATAACCCGAAGAGAGCATATAGATTAATCCTTAAATTGACTAAAATAGAATCCTCAGAAATACCACTATTTAAGATGTGGCTAAAAACACACATTAGCATCCAGATAGGTAGAACACAACTCACAAGAGTAGTATTATAGAAGTCAGTGGAAGAGAAGAATGTGTTTTGAGGGTGAATGATCAACAATATGAAGCACTTAAGAGGAAACTTTGATGGCCTTCATGAAATTAGTATCAGAAGAATAATAGGCTTCGAATCAGAAGAATAATAGGCTTGGAAAGCAAACTTGAGTGCATGGTCATAAATAAATACAGGCACTAAATATAGGTAACTACTTTAATAAACATTCTAGGTCACCACTTGGAGGTAAGATTTAAACTGAATCTATAGTTCCAGAAATGAAGGTTTCTTTGAAGACCTCAGCAATAAGGTTGGGCTTTTATAAATGTATCATAGCTGTAGAGGTTATTTTGCATGGGGAAGGCAGTGGAATCATAAAGAACTAGAAAATCAATACATTTTACAAATTCCAGTGTATTTAGAATGCTAGAGAGCATTTATATAGTGCTTACCATGTTCCAGACACTATTTTAAGGGCTACATACATAGGAAGATTTAAATTTGTGGTACTTCCTACATGAGATAGGTGGTAGTTTTTATCATAATCCTCATTTTATTTTTGAAGAAACTGCCCTAGGCTTCTAAACAATGAACATTGGAACCAAGGGTCCACTCTATTGTATTTGATTCAGAATCTAGGCCCCAAACAATTATATTCACAGCCCCGTTTTGGTTCTGTGTACAAACCATTATTGGCTGACTAAAAGAATGAAAAAGGTAGATGATATTAAATAAGAAATAACTATGTCTTGGTGTAGAAATTTGCATCAATAATTCTGAACGGACTTTGCATTTACCTCCCTTTATTTCTCCCAAGTATTACAAGTAGTCTGACTTAAACAAGTCTGTTACAGGAAGAATTAACTCCAGCTTCCCCAAATGACAAGACCTGCTCCATTTATAAATGCTGTAATCAAATGGCAGGTTACTACACATTTAACAATTTAAATTATAGTAATCGATGTTTAAAATTACTGGTCATATGAGAGAAAATACTTTCAAATGATTAAGCAGCTGTGATCTATGAGCATAGGAAAAAATTGAATGTACCTAAGAGTAGAAAATGAGTATTAAAAATAACAGAATAATGAAGCCTCTAAAAGCTCATGTTCAGTTTGATTTGCAAAAGAAATAGTTTAGCAAAAACAAGTAGTACACTAAAATTGTCAAATCCCCAAGGTTGATAGAAGAACGCTAGGGTTTAATAGATTCAAAGCATTATAAAATCAACAGAGAAATCGGGGAATTACAATTTGACAGATTAGAAAGATAGATGCAACTGGACATAGAAACAAGACCAACAGATGTTTATTATTACCTCATTCCTATATTAGTTTGCTAGGGTTTCATGATAAAGCACCACAAACTAAGTGCCTTAAAATACAGAACGTTCATGTCTAAAAGTTCTGGGGGCCAGAAACTTGAGATCACGGTGTGAATGTGTGTGCATGTATGTGTTTTAAAAAGAAGTTTATAATAAATACCAAATTATGGATAGCAGTTTGTCCTGGGAAGAGACAAGGATATGGGGAAAATAAAGGAGCACATGATAAGTTATTTATAATATCTTAGTTATTAGGTAAGAAAGCATTTAATATACCATCTTTCAGAAACAACATGTTAATTTAAAAATTATACTCAGGAACCTCACTACCCAGGTTTACACCCTATGTTTATGCTAACTCTACATTCCCAGGAAGTTCATTCATCTAACTTGAGTTTCCTTTCTAAAAAAATATGGATAATAGCAGTATCTTCCTCTGGTATTATTTTGAGGGTTTAATGACATATTATTTGTAAAACACTTGGAATTTTGCCTCATGGAATGTAAGCATCTTAGGAATTCTTGTCAAATAAACATTATCATATTATTTAAATAAAATTACATAAATATAAAAGTGTGGAATTCATCAAGAATTGTAATTAATCCAATTATTCATGACTGAGTTCTACATAATGAGGATAAATACGGTAAGAAAAAATAAAAAATATTTTACATTTATATAACTTCTATATTTTGGATATAAATATATCATTTAGTACATTTTTATCTGTACAAATCTTTCCTTTTTTGTGGAGTTTATCTGCAAGGGTGCAAGCTGCTCACAGTAGGGAAAATAGAGCATGTTTTAGTGACCCTTTCAGATAGTGCTCCAAGGTCTTTTCCGAGCCAAGGAATTTTAACTATTGCCATCTTCTTTTATTAAGCTTCAAATCCCAAAGTTTGATTTAATCAAAGTTATTCAAAGGCAGACCAGAAATGGAGCACTGGGCAATGGAAAGTGACAGATTAAATGCATCACCTTCATCCATCCCCAAGAACATATTAGAATGATAGGGTGAGGAATACAGCTAACTTTCTGTGCCTTAGTCTTTTTATCATGCCCTTAAGAGACACCATTTTCAGTCACCACACTCAATCCTCATGAAGTTGAGTTGTATGTGCATATCTGCGTGCAGTATTGGGGTCCTGTCCAATAGTTCCCCTTGTGCCATTGTTCATGCCTGAGTTTGGGTCATAATTTGTGTACTGAAATGATTTGGGTTTTGGTCCCTCAGATTTACAGATCCAATTCTAAAGTTATTTAGGGCAAATTGAAGGATGAATCCTGAACTTGAAATTTGCAGGGCAGGTACAGGAAATGTGTATAGGTATAAAACAACTGAAAATGCTGATAACAGAATGATCAAGTAGATAGAATTAAAGATAGCAAAGTAGGTATTAGAGCCTGAGAGAAAATTGGAAGGCTTTAGGGGCCCGTAAGTCTCTAAGAAATCAGAAAGGAGTGACAATAGAAAAAAAAGGTATAAAAATACACATTGTTTTAATCAGAAATGAGGATATCGGCTTCTAATATAAAATGTACCCTTTAATTAATTAATTAATTGTTCATTAATAATCACTTATTTGTTATCTACTATCTCTAAAGCCTTGCTCTAGACAAAGTCGTAAACACAAAATGCAAAACTCTCTAATTTCCTGAAGTTTACCTTCTATTAGAGGAGTTAAAAATAACATATTTAGACTGTTAATGGAGAAAAAATTAACTACTCAATAGGTAGCTTTTCAACCCATGTCCCCCTCCTTCCCTCTCCACTCCAGTAGTACAGATTATCTATTGTCCCCATGTTTATACACACGTGTGCTCAATGTTTAGCTTCCACTTATAAGTGAGAACACATGGTATTTGATTTCTGTTTCTGTGTTATTTGCTTAGGATTATATCCCAGACTTTATAAATAAATTCTGTGTGGTGGTGTGGGCAGGTGGTAATAAAGAGATCAAACTAGGAACACTCCAGAGGTCTGGATTCTTTCCTCACTATTGGTCCCAAAAACATACGTTTGTTGTTTCCAAAGTTTCAACGAATTATGGTTCTTATGGTCTGGGGAACAGAGGCTACCTAGAAAAGTGCTCTTCTCGGTTTATGTCCTAGATAATCGGAGTATAATTTATCTCTCTCTTTAGTCATACCGAAGAAGGTATTGAAGAGGCAGGTACAAAAAAGACAGGAGACACACAGGGTATTGGTCCTAGACATCTCACCTGAATTAGGGATTTAAGTCTTGTATCATCTCTAGGATTTACCTAGATAGAATGATATACAGAGATAGGATCACTGAGAGATTAGTGAATATACCCTTATCACTAATAAAAAGTTCCCTTTCTCTTTCAATTCAAAATAATGACAGGATATCAATACAGCAGGCATACACAAAAACTTATTTGAATAGGTAGTTTTAAAAAAAAGTTAATACATGGAGTGCAGCACTCCATTTAGAATTGCCTCTGAACAGTGTGAAGGCAAAACATAACTGTTGGTTATGTGTAAAATGAACACAGTGTTTTGTGAAAGTTAATAAGAGTTATGTAATTAAACTTTTCATGGCATTAAATCATGAGTACATTTCATTTAAAAAAATTGTTAATGCATCTCATTTTTATAGCCTACTATTAGATAGCAGCTCCTATAATTGATCTTAATTGCTTGATTTGCATGAAAAACTATGAAGTATTGAGAATGTATAATTGAAAATATTGCAATAATAATTACCTTAAATATTTAAATGTGTAAAAAGAAAATAATATTGGAGCGTCCTCTTAGATTTGGACATTTTAAAAATGACAAAGTGAGATTACCAAAATTATGCTATGTTTCATAAATTAACATTTAATGAATCAATGCTTTGTATAAAAAGACAAAAATAATTTTTTTTTTTTTTTTTTTTTTGAGACGGAGTCTCGCTCTGTCGCCCAGGCTGGAGTGCAGTGGCGGGATCTCGGCTCACTGCAAGCTCCGCCTCCCGGGTTCACGCCATTCTCCTGCCTCAGCCTCCCAAGTAGCTGGGACCACAGGCGCCCGCCACTACGCCCGGCTAATTTTTTGTATTTTTAGTAGAGACGGGGTTTCACCGTTTTAGCCGGGATGGTCTCGATCTCCCGACCTCGTGATCCGCCCGCCTCGGCCTCCCAAAGTGCTGGGATTACAGGCGTGAGCCACCGCGCCCGGCCAAAAATAATTTTTTAAATTGAGTATGTGCTGGAGTTATATACAACCTAGCAAAGGAGATATGTTAACTAATCAATCCACAATGAAACAAATAAAGTGCTATTTTAAAATTATAAATAAAATATTACACATGTACAGAGGAGAAAATACTTGATTGCTTGTACCTCAAGTCATAATTCATATTTATTTGTTTTTGGATAATTTTTGAAATAAAACTAACAGTATTTTCATATATAACAAAATTAGTTTACCCAGAGTCTTTTCTTAACTACAATGGTGTCTGTGTAGAGCATTTGGGATATCAAGAAAAGTAAGCAAATAAAGGTTCTATTACTACATCAAAGTTTCATTGCAGAAAATTAATTTTTTCACTTTTCTCAATTTTTTCATTATGATATGTCTTATCATGTTAAGAAAAGAGATCAGTGATACTGTGCCATAAGTTTCTAATGATCAGTTACAGATTTTTGTTTTTTTTTATTTTCTAAATAGGAATTTGTTCCAGGACCATAGAATTATGTGTGATTATTGAAATGTGATAATATATTTGATAGAAAGAGCAAAATATAAGTATACCAAAAATTATCTAAATATTATTATTCAAATACTATATACTGATAAAGTATTGTGTAATATGCATTGCACAAAAATGTAAGGGCAACTTGTTTTCAGTTATACTATGAGTCATATATATAATGTGAGAATTAAGAAAAACATAGACTCATTACTTTAATAAGAAAAATATAAAAGAATTTAAAAGTTTAAAGAAAAATTTCCCACCTAGTAATTTTTATATAAAGTGATTATTTTCCTAGAAAAAAATAACCTATATTTTCTGTACTACATTCAGAGAATTCTAAGATTTTATCAGAAAATAAAATATATTTTTACTAGTAATCATTATTCTCAAATATCAAGTAGTTAACATTTTATACTTAACCCAATACATAAGAGAATTTTCACTTATTGATTGTTACTTTGACTATATGCTTTCAAGTTAATTATCTTTTCTTGAAGTTTTTATTTCTTAATGTTTGACACAAAAATATAGGTTTACAAATGTTTAAATACTACTAAGGCTTTTCATTTTTAGAACCTTAACATCATTGAACTGAGAAAGCTACATAGAATAACACATGTTTATATTTCTGGAGTCAACAACACTTTTAAAGTAGTAATGAATATAATGGCAAAACTCTGTCTTAAAATGTTTTCAACTTTGTCTCTGGAATATATAATTACTCACACTGAAAAATTATGTTGGTGGGACTGTAAACTAGTTCAACCATTGTGGAAGTCGGTGTGGTGATTCCTCAGGGATCTAGAACTAGAAATACCATTTGACCCAGCCATCCCATTACTGGGTATATACCCAAAGGATTATAAATCATGCTGCTATAAAGACACATGCACACGTATGTTTATTGTGGCACTATTCACAATAGCGAAGACTTGGAACCAACCCAAATGTCTAACAATGACAGACTCGATTAAGAAAATGTGGCACATATACATCATGGAATACCATGCAGCCATAAAAAAGGATGAGTTCATGTCCTTTGTAGGGACATGGATGAAGCTGGAAACCATCATTCTCAGCAAACTATCGCAAGGACAAAAAACCAAACACCACATGTTCTCACTCATAGGTGGGAACTGAACAATGAGAACACATGGACACAGGAAGAGGAACATCACACACCAGGGACTGTTGTGGCGTTGGCGGAGGGGGGAGGGATAGCATTAGGAGATATACCTAATGCTAAATGACGAGTTAATGGGTGCAGCACACCAACATGGCACATGTATACATATGTAACAAACCTGCACGTTGTGCACATGTACCCTAAAACTTAAAGTATAATAATAATAATAATAAAATAAATAAATATGTACAAAGTGAAAAAAAAAGAAAAAGACACTAACATGCAAAAAGTAAACAATTCTAGGTATAAAATCCACTGGTAAAATTAAGTACAAAATTAAACACAGAATTACTGTTGTAATTTTGGTGTTCAATCCACTCATAAATATATTATAAAGCCATTAAGACAAATCTATCTAAAACTATAATATTTATAGAAACTTGTTAAGAGATAGGTGATAAAAAATATATAAATTGAGACAATATTTGAGGTAATGAAGTTTAAGGGTACAATTTTTACTTTTCATTTCATTGTTTATTTGTTCCTAGTATTTTCTTTGTTATCAAAGATAATTTTTCATTTCTTTAAAATAACTTGTTTTTTATATATATGTATATATATATATATATATATATATATACACATACACACACACAATGGTTTTGTAAGCTTTATGGTAATCAAAATGCAAAAAACATAAAATAGATTCACTAAAAATAAAAAGCAATAAATTAAAATGTACTACTAGAGAAAATCACTTACCCACAAAGGAAGACAGTAAGAAAAGGAGAAAAAGAGACAAATTACAAAAACAACTAGAAAATCAGCAACAAAATGGCAGTAGTATGTCCTTTCTTATCAATAATAACACTGAATGTAAATGGACTCAGTTCTCCAGTTGAGAGGCAGAGTTGCTGAATATATAAAGAAGCAAGACCCTATCATATGCTGCCTATAAGAAAACCACTTTGTCTATAAAGACACATACAGACTGAAAGTAAAGGGGTGTAGAAAGTTATTCCATTCACCTGAAAACCAAAAAAAGAGCAAGAGTAGCCATACTTGTAACACATAAAATAAATTACAGATCAAATACTGTAAAATGAAACAAATGAGGTCACTATATGTTGATATAGGGGTCAGTTAAGCAAGAGGATGTAACAATAATAAATACCTATGCATTCAAATGAAGCTCCCAGGTATATAAAGCAAACACAAACATGAATAGATCCAAAGGGAAAGATAGACTGCAATACAATAATAGTAGGAGACTTCAACACCCCACTCTCAGTAATAAACAGATCATCCAGTTAGAAAATCAATGAAGAAACATGGGAATTAAACTACACACTAAACCAAATAGGCCTGACATTCACAGAACATTACAGCCAAGTATGACAGAATACACATTTTTTTTAAATCCACACAAGAAACATTCTCCAGAATAGACCATATTTTAGGCCATAAGGGAAGTCTCAACAAATTCAAAAAGTAGAAATCTTATAAATTATCTTTTCAGACAACAATGAAATAAAACTAGAAATCAATAACAAGCGTAACCTTGGAAGATACCCAAACACATGAAAATTAAACAACATGCTCCTGAATGACAAAGTAATAAGGAAATTAAGAAGGAAATTTAAAATATTGTTGAAATAAATGAAAATGGAAATGCAACATATTGAATCTATGGGATACAGCAAAAGCAGTATTAAGAGGGAAGTTTACAGTAATAAATGCCTATATCAAAAGAGTAGAAAGACTTCAAAGAAAACTCTAATGATGTACCTCAAGAACTAGAAAAGCAAGAGAAACAAAATGTAAAATTAGTAGAAGAAATGAAATAATAAAGATCTGGGCAGAAATACATTGAATTAAGTCAAAAAATACAAAAAATAAATACCACAAAGGTTGACTTTTTAAAAAGATAAAATCAACACACCTTTAGCTAGACTAAGAAGAAATGAGAGTAGACACAAATAAATGAAATCAGGAATGAGAAAGGAGATGTAACAATTGAGACCTCAAAAATTTGAATAATCATTAAAAACTATTATAAACAACTACATGGCAACAAATTGAAAACTTAGAAGAAATCCATAAATTTATGGAAACATACAGTCTGCTGGGATTGAAACATAAAGAAATAGAAAACCTCAATAAGCTAATAATGAGTAACAAGATGGAAGTTGAAATAAAAAGTTTTCATCAAAGGAAAGCCCAGAATATGATGGCTTCACTACTGAATTCTACAAAATATTTTAAAAAGCACCACCAATCTACTGAAACTGTTTAAAACAATTGAGAACATAATATTTCCAAATTTATTCTTATAAGGCCAAGATTATCTGATGCCAAAACTAAACAAGACACAACAATAACAACAACAAAAACTACAGGCCAATATCACTGATAAACATAAATGCAAAGTTCCTCAACAAATACTGACAAACCAAAGTTAACAACACATTATAAAGATCATTCACCATAATCATGTGGGAGTCATCCCAGGAATGTAAGGAGGTTCAACATATTCAAATCAATAAACATAGTACATCATATTAACAAACCAAGAACAAAAGCTTTATGATCATTGAAATACATGCAAGAAAATATTGAATATATTTAAGATACACACAATAAATGTTGACTGTATTTAAAATTTATTGAAATTTAATAAAATTCCACATACATTTATGATTAAATGCCCCAAACAAACTGGATTTATAGGGAGCCAACCTCAACATAATAACAACCATAGATGAAAAACTCACAGCTAAAATCAAACTCAATGAGAAATAAATTGAAGACCTTTCCACCGGGATCTGGAACAAGACAAGCATGCCCACTTTTTCCACTACTATTCAGCACAGTACTGGAAGTCCTGGTCTAAGCAATTAGTCAAGATAAAAAAATTAAGAACATCCACATTAGAAAAGAAGATGCCAAATTAGCCTTGTGCACAGGCAACATGATCCACTACTTTAAAAACACTAAAGACTCCACCAAAAACACTGTTGTAAATGATAAACAAATTTAGTAAAGTCGCAGCATACAAAATCACCACACAAAACTTAGCATTTATATATGGCAATGGTGAACAATATGAAAGAAAGCAATGCCATTTACAGGAGATTAAAAAAAATCTAGGAATAAATATGACCAAGGAAAGAAAAGACATTGACAATGAAAACAAAAAAACTCTGATGAAATAAACTGAAGTGGATGCAAACAAATGGAAAGACATCACATGCTCGTGAATCAGAAAAAAGAATTTTTAACTTTTATTTTAGGTTCAGGGGTATATGTTCAAGTTTTTTATATAGGTAAATTCATGTCATAGAATTGTTGTACAGAATATTTCATCCTCTAGGTACTAAGCCTAGTACACAATAGTAATTTTTTCTGATCTTCTCCCTCTTCCCAACCTCCATCTTCAAGTAGGATGAACTGCTGAAAGATTCCTGTGAGTCTGATGAGCTTCCATCTGTAGGTGATCTGTCCTTTCTCTCTAGCTGCCTTTAACACTTTTTCTTTCATATCGATTTTGGAGAAATTGATGATTATGTGCCTTGAGGATTATCTTTTTCTAAAGGTGTCTTGTGAGGATTCTCTGAATTTTCTGAATTTGAATGTGGGCTTCTTTAGCTAGGTTAGAGAAGTTCTCATGGGTGATATCCTGAAATACGTTTTCCAAGCTGCTTCCATTCTCCTCATCTCTTTCAGGGATGCCAATGAATCATAGATCTGGTCTCTTTATATAGTCCAATATTTCTTGGAAGTTGTATTTATTCTTTTTCATACTTTTTTATTCCTTATTCCTTTCTTACTGTCTTGTGTCCGAAAACCAGTCCTCAAGCTCTGAGATTGTTTACTCAGCTTGGTTTATTCTGCTGTTAATACTTGTGATTGCATTATAAAATCCTTGTAGTATTTCCTATAGCTCTATTAATTCAGTTATGTACTTTGCTATAATGGCTATTTTGTCTGTCAGCTCCTGTGTCATTTTACTGTCTTTCTTAGCTTCCTTGGATTGGGTTTCAACATTCTCCTGAATCTCAATGATCTTCATTCCTATCTATATTCTGAATTCTATTTCTGTCATTTCAGTCCTCTCAGACTGGTTAAGAACACTTGCAGGAGACCTAGCGCAGTCATTTGGAAGAAAGAATGCATTCTGGCTTTTTGAGTTGTCAGAGTTCTTGAACTTTTTTTCTCATACTTGTGGGCTGATATTTCTTCAGTCTTTGAAATGGTTGTCCTATGGACTTTTAAAATTATTTTATCCTATTTGATTGACTTGAGGGTTTGATTGTGATATAAGGTGGGTTTGATCAACAGGTTTTGTTTCTGGAAGCTTTTTAGGAGTCAAGGCTCAGCTCAGGACTCCTGGACTGTGTGGTCTAACTCTGGGAGACTAGCGAGGGTATTTATTGGGCTTGGCTTTGTGTTTTTTTACTCTTTGAGGTTAGGAACTTGCTGGGCTGGAGGGACCAAGGGTGTTCCTGGACCACTGGTTACAACATTCCGATGGGTGGTGCCAGCCAATGTGCTTCCTAGACCAGTGGAGATGGGGTCTTTCCTTATTCACACATTCCAGCACCAGTAGCAGCAGCAGCACCGCAGGGTGCTGCAGCAGCATGCTAGCAGGTGCCAGGGTACTGGCCTCTGTTGGCATTCACAGCAGTGGGGGTATCAGCACAGCTCAGGGGAGGCAGGGGGCACCCTCCAGCAAATGTGTGTGCATTTGTACTAGTGGTAGTGTTAGTGGATCATTTGTGGGCAGAGGACTCTGTGTACCAACTGTGCATATTCACAAGGATGGCAGTGGCTGCTCAGGGGAAAATTTAAATGACCATACAACTTATAGTAATCTACAGATTCAGTGTGGTCTCTATCAATGTAGCAGTGAAACTCTTCATAGAAATTTGTATGAAATAACAAAAATCCTAAATACCTAAAGCAATGCTGAGCAAAAAAGAACAAGGTTGGAAGCATCACACTATCTTACTCAAAATATATTAAAAGCCATAGTAACCAAAACAGCATTGTCCTTGCATAAAAACAGAGAAATTGACTAATTGAATAAAGAACCCAGAAATAAATATACATATTTATAGCCCATTAATTTTTGACAAAGACACTAAGAACATACATTAGAGAAAGAACACACATTAGTGAAAAAAAATCTTCAATAAATGGTAATGGGAAAACTGAATATCTGTATTTAGAAGAATGAAATGAAACCCCTATATTTCACCACATACAAAAAAATAGCACACTATGGATTAAATCCTTACATTTAAGACTTAAACTATAAAATTACTAGAAGAATATGTGGTGGGAATGCTTTAAGACATTGTTGTCAGCAAATATTTTATGGATAAGACCTATAAAGCAAGGTAACCAAAACAAGAATGAAAAAAATGGGGTTACATTAAATTTAAAAGCTTCTGCACAGCAAAGAAAACAATCAATAGCATAAAGAGGCAACCTTTAGAATGGGAGAAAATCTTTACAAACTATCTGACAAGTGACTAACATCCAGATATGCAAGAATATAAGGTACTGAAACAGGCAAACAAACAAAAATAAAAAAAATTCCACTAAAAAGTCAGAAAAGTATCTGCATAGACATTTCTCAAAATAGTATATACTAATGGCCTTATAAAACATACTCAGCATCACCAGTCATCATGGAAATGTATATCAAAACCACAATGTAATATCATCTACCCCAGTTAGAATGACTATTATCAAAAAAGAAAAACTGTAATAAATGCTGGGAGCATGTGGATACAAAAGATGCAGATACCGATGGTGGTGATACAAATTGGTACAGTCATTATGAAAAACAGTATGGATGTTTCTTCTAAAAAACTAAAAATAGAACTACCATATGATCTAGCAATCTCACCACTGAGTATTTATCCAAAGGAAAGGAAATAAGTATATCCAAGGAATACCTAGACCCTCAAACTTACTATAGCACTATACATAATCACCAGATATATAATCAACAAGTGTCCATCAACAGATAAATGCATAAAGACAATGTGGTATACATACACAGTGGAATACTATTCAGCCATTAAAAATAATACAATTCTATCTTTTGCAGCAACGTGGATGGAGCTGGAGGTCATCATTATGTTCAGTGAAATAACCCAGACACAGAAAGACAAATACTGCGTGTTTTCACTCATATGAGGTAGTTTAAAAATTGATCTCTCATGGAGGTAGGGAGTAGAATGATGGTTACAATAGGCTGAGAAGGGAGGCATGGGAGATTGAAGAGCAGTTGGTTAATGGTTGCAAACATAAAATTAGAGAGAAGAAACAAATTCTAGTGTTTGATAGCACAGCAGGGTGACTATAAGTGAAGAATTACTTAATGTATGTTTTAAAATAGCTAGAAGAGAATATTTGAAATGTCCCCAACACAAATAAATGATAAGTATTCAAGGTGATGGATATTCTAAATATCTTGATTTGACCATTACCTATTATATGCCTATATGAAAATATCTTTTAAAAATTAGAAAACATTACTTAGGGAAATGCAAATTATTTGGTTTTTGACATGGCACTTTTATCACCTGTTTTACTAATAATTCATGCATAACTACTTTTCACAAACAGTGTTAGTAATGACCAAAGTGTGTATTTATTCTGTTACCTGCAGGAATAGGAAAGAAGTATAGCTTTTGTTAACTTGCAATGTGAAAAAGCTCAGGCCAAAATAACTGGTCTAAAAGATTAATTGAATTTTTACATTAATGTTCATTTTTCATATTAAGCCCTGAATGAAAGTATTTATATTAAAAATGAACTCTTTGCCTTGAATTTTATCATAAAATATCTCATTACTTTTTGTCCATTAATATCTTTGAAGTATTTATAATGTAGTTCTGAAGTGAAGTATTTAGGTCATGTAGGAGATCAATTTAATACTGTTTTTCCTAAAATCACTCATCCTGCTTAGTATATTCACATACTATGTTTCAATCAAGTCTCGCAAGGATTTGTCATGGAATCCCATAGCCATAGAAATGTATTTCTGTGTCCCACAGCAATAATGAAATTCTAAAATAAACTTTTCTCTCTTTTCTCTTTGGATAAAAATATTCTATTTGTAAAAATGTGGTTGTCAACATTAATATTGAATTTAAATTGATATGTTGCTAAACCTTAAAATGGGTGAAAGTTGAAGTAAAAAATTTGGAGTATAATTTCTGATGAAGTATGTATACATTTTTTCTAGTAAATATGAATTCAATTATTGAGAGATTTCCTGTGATATGCCTGCTATTTAATACGAACTTTTTGTTCTTGTTTAAATTTTAAGGCAGGAATTAAAACCAAAATTGGTTGCTAAATTATTGTACTGCATCTAAATTCTCTGCATAACCACCTCAATGCTTTTTAACTCGTTATTTAAAGTATTGTGCTCATACTGCTAATTGAAACAACTAAGTTGTGCTCATGAAATTAAAATCTATTGTGGTCTAGGTACTTCGAACATTGTCTAATTTAATTTCAAAAACTTATGAAGTTTATTATTCTAGTTTTACAAATGAATAAACTGGGAGTTGAAGTTTACTAAATTAATTGTATTATTTACAAAAACACAATGTTTAATGGTGAAAATATAACTCAGAAATAGGTCTTCATAACATTATAATTCAGGTTCTTTTTGTTGTACCTTGGTGCACTAGAGATTGTTTTCTACATTTGTTTCACAAAGCAGTGTAATTGACTACATGGTAAGCTCAGAGTTCTTTTTTTTTTTTTTAATACTTTTAAGTTTTAGGATACATGTGCACAACGTGCAGGTTTGTTACATATGTATACATGTGCCATGTTGGTGTGCTGCACCCACCAACTCATCATTTAGCATTAGGTATATGTCCTAATGCTATCCCTCCCCCCTCCCCCAACCCCACAACAGGCCCCACTGTGTGATGTTCCCCTCCCTGTGTCCACGTGTTCTCATTGTTCAATTCCCACACATGAGTGAGAACATGCGGTGTTTGGTTTTTTGTCCCTGCAATAGTTTGCTGAGAATGATGGTTTCCAGCTTCATCCATGTCCCTACGAAGGACGTGAACTCATCATTTTTTATGGCTGCATAGTATTCCATGGTGTTTATGTGCCACATTTTCTTAATCCAGTCTGTCATTGTTGGACATCTGGGTTGGTTCCAAGTCTTTGCTATTGTGAATAGTGCCGCAATAAACATACGTGTGCATGTGTCTTTATAGCAGCATGATTTATAATCCTTTGGGTATATACCCAGTAGTGGGATGGCTGGGTCAAATGGTATTTCTAGTTCTAGATCCCTGAGGAATCACCACACCGACTTCCACAATGGTTGAACTAGTTTACAGTCCCACCAACAGTGTAAAAGTGTTCCCATTTCTCCACATCCTCTCCAGCACCTGTTGTTTCCTGACTTTTTAATGATCACCATTCTAACTGGTGTGAGACGGTATCTCATTGTGGTTTTGATTTGATTTGATGGCCAGTGATGATGAGCACTTTTCTTAATTATAATTTATTCCCTCTGAAATCAATGAAGACAGTAGACAAAAGAGGTAAGTATAATTTTACACTGTATAGTTTTCAAAGTTCTTTTCAATTAACCATGAATTTTAGATTTCTAGACTACTTTACAAATAAGAATTTGAATGCTTAGACTAAGATACTTAGTTGAATTCCTTCCAGTCTCCCAGATAGCAATTTCTATATAATATGGACTTATAGACACAGTGTCTTCCTACCAAAAGAAAAATCTAAACTAAATAAAACAAGATGAAGAAAAGAAGCCCTCCTTAAAATGAAAAAGAAATATAAGTTGATAGAAAACCAAACTTTCATTAGTTTTGGAAACTAAGAGTGCCAAAAATTTTGAGGAATGTTTACATTCAATGACATCAGGTTAAAGTGAATCATCGTAGGTCAATTTTCAAGTGTGCTTTTGATAAAAAAAAAAAAAGTCTAGGGATTTTATTGCTGTTAAGCAGCAAAGATAATACACTAATTACCGTCTAATTTGGACATAGTTGGATATCAAGCAAGTTTAATTTGTAATGCATATAAGGACTATTATTGAATTCATTTTACCATTACAAAATAGGATAATTATCATTGAATTTATCAAACTTAAATGTTTACTTGTGATTTTCTTTAACATATAAGATTTTAGGACAAGATAGAATGATGAAAAAGACCTCTATCATTTCCCAGAATAGCTTTTATTACTGTGTAGTTTTGTCTTTTCCTTACAATAGTCCTCTGTTCATATGTAGGCAAAAAGTGCTATAGATAAAGTGACTTGAGATTGTGATTTTTAAAGTATATAGGAGAAAAAGGAAAAAGAAAGATATTGCATCATTTATTTCCTTTCCTCTCTATTCCCACCCTCCACTATTCCACCCTTTCAAGCTTCAAGTGTTTTTGTCAGTGCCTAACAGAATGGAAACTACCTGGAGCGTTCCAGTGAGTGCCCTACCAGGAACACTTTTTTATAGTTAGAACATGATTAATTTGAGATCCACCACTCAGACTACTGATGAGAGCTGAAATGTTCCTCCACAGCTGTGCTCTGATCTACTTATTGACAAGGATTAGATGTTTCTTTGTACCTTCAATTCCTAATACACTATTTTTCACCAAGTCGTTATGCGTGGATTAAAATAACAGTGAATGTTAGGTGAAACGCTCTCTATAAATTAGGGGAAAATATTTGCAGAGCAAACCTTTAAAATGATTGAGAAAATATATTTTTAAATAAAAACAAAACATTTTCTTCATAAAACAAAACTTTATAATATTCTAAAAGTATTGCTGTTTTGTGAAACATCTTTATTTAAGTCCAGATTTGTGGGTTTAAAATGCTTGAACTTAATAAAACCAAATATTTCACCTACTTATTTAAATTTGAATGGCCTTTGTACTATCTTTATTAGTGAAGCAGGCAGACTCTATTGTTTTTGCCCTCATTTATCTTCAAAAGGTAGACAAGGCCTGGTGCAGTGGCTCACGTCTGTAATCCCAGCACTTTGGGAGGCCAAAGCAGATGGATCACCTGAGGTCAGGAGTTCGAGACCAGCGTGGCCAACATGGTGAAACCCTGTCTCTACTAAAAATACAAAAGTTATCTGGGCATGGTGGCAGGCGCCTGTAATCCCAGCTACTCGGGAGGCTGAGGCAGGAGAATCGCTTGAACCCGGGAGGCACAGGTTCCAGCGATCCGAGATCATGCCATTGCACTCCAGCCTGGGCGACAAGAGTGAAACTCCATCAAAAAAAAAATGAAAGAAAGGAAGGAAGGAAGGAAGGAGGAAGGCAGGAAAACAATTTTATAATGTCTGAAGAATTATCTGATGTAACTGTCAGAGATGTTTGAACCAGAGCTACTCCATCTTGAATAGGGGCTGTGTAAAATAAGGCTGAGATATGCTGGGCTGCTTTCCATGAGGTTAGGCATTCACAGGAGGTTAGCAGGACTGGTATAATGAGATACGGTTCACAGAGACCCTGCTGATAAATCAGAATGTGGTAAAGAAGCTGGCTAAAACCCACCAAAACCAAGATGGCCAGGAAAACGATCTCCTGTTGCCCTCACTGCTCACTGTGTGCTAATTAGAATGCATTGACATGCTAAAGGGCACTCCCACCAGCACCATAACAGTTTATACATGCTACGGCAACATCCATAAGTTACCCTATATGGTCTAAAAAGGGGAATAAGCTTCAGTTCTGGGAACTCCCCACCCCTTTCCCAGGAAACTCATAAATAATCCACTTCTTGTTTAACATATAATTAAGAAGTAACCATAAATATGCTAAGTCAAGCAGCCCATGCCGCTGCTCTGTCTATGGAGTAACCATTATTTTGTGTCTTTAATTCTCTAATAAATTCACTTTCACTTTACTCTCTGGATTTGCCCCAAATTCTTTCTTGCGTGAGATCCACAAATCCTCTCTTGGGGTCTGCATTGGGACCCCTTTCCGGTAAGTAAACAAGTTAAACATTAAAGGAGAAATATACCCTTATTGTTTAAAAAAGATAGATAAGAAGAAACTCTGCATACATATCATCAACCAGTTTTGTATTTGCAAAAAAAAGCTTGTATTAAAGTTAGCTTCTATCAGATATGTGCTCTCTCCCAAAGACAAGGAAAGTAAGTTAGATATAAGGATCTGGAAGACAATGAGTGCATGACATAACTACATTGAATACATTTTTTTAATAAGGCAGAAATATACCACTTATGAACCAAAATATTCTCTGAGCTTATTCAAAGCAATGCAGCCATATCCATTACCTTTTATTATGACTAATCACATTTCAATGTATTTGAACATTACCTCACCCATTTACAGCCTCCTTCTATCTCTGAGATTGATTATAGCTGACATTCTCAGCAGTCAAAACATCTTGCAAATGACTTCTTAGCCTGGAGAGCCCTACCAGGATGATATTCACATTGCTGTCTGCCTCGCTTGTCTCCCATCTAGCCATTGAAGCATTTACAATAATACTCTTATTAAATTTGCTCCACCATGTGTTCAATTAGATAAAATCTTCTTAAATATTGCACTGGATGTGAATTGGGAAAATGCTAAATTGCTTCTGCATGTGTTAAGTGTATTCTGAGAGGTAGATGAAGCCATATTATATCATTGGATTTAAGCAATAAAGTCAATAGAAAAAGATGTTCATTTTGTTTGGTTACATTTACACATTAAGTTTTCTTTCTAGATAAATGAGACTCTACTAAATAAACTGAATATAATGTGATAGGCTTGGGTGAAATATTTACTTTCTTTTATGTTTATTAGTTATAGGAGAGAGTACAAAAATGAGTTTTATTATATGAAGAATTATATGAAGGAGAGAACTAAGAATTAACTTAGAGACATTATTCTTTTATTTTATAAATGGAAAACTAAATAGTTCCTACTTATTTATTGAAATAGAGAATACATTTAGGATCAATGCTTTACTTCTTAGAAAATTGAGTGGAAATTTCAAATACATTCTAGATATTATATGCATACTATGCAATGCAGATCAAATATATTTTATTTTCTTAATATTAGATATCATTTAATAGCAAGTATCCTTTAGATGACTATTTAATACGAGTAATACAATGTCTGATATTTCTGAAATATGAAAAGTGACCTAAAACACTATGACTAATATCTTCACAATATCCAAATACAGGGGAGGGCAGTTTGTGGAAAGGGAAAGGGGGCTGCTCATGTTTTCCTTGTTACTAAGCTGATTCTTATCACTTTTCTCACTGGACACATGGATGTACCTAAATAATATAAAATGTTATGTATAGGCAGATCTGTCTGTACTTTTTAATGAAATATATGTCAATGTTTTTATTCTTGCCACTCCAATATGGGATCTCTACTTATGTAGTCCTTTACTTCTGAAGATCTTAACGCTTGACTCATAAACTGAAACCATGGCTCCATATTTGTGGATGTTTTTAAATTACATGAAAATTTTGTATGTACATTTTTCTTGAGAGAGTATCAGAGCATTCACCAGATTCTTTAGAGGTTGATGATTCTAACAAAAACAAT
Organism: Homo sapiens; assembly: GCF_000001405.40. Lineage (NCBI taxonomy): Eukaryota > Metazoa > Chordata > Mammalia > Primates > Hominidae > Homo > Homo sapiens. Next base: position 30,505,854 of record NC_000009.12, read on the forward strand.
CACTCTTCCAAGTATTTTGTAATGGATATTTAAGTCTTAATCAATTTGGAAATGTCTGTACACATTTTAAGGTCAGATATTATTTTGTTATATATATATATGTTTTTTAATATATAATATTAATATAAGATAATAACCATGCCTATTTATCTTCCTATCCTTTTTACTTTTGCAGGAATTCCTTGAGATATTGTGGGTTTGCTTTCAAATAATTGCAATAAAATTAATATTTTAATAAAGGGGGTCACACAAATTTTTGGGTTTCCCAGTGCATATAAAGTTATGTTTATACTATACTGTAGCCTATTAAGTGTGCAATAGCATTATGTCTTAAAACAGGATTACAGACCTTAACTTAAATAATATTTTATTGTTTAAAAATGCTAATGAATCATCTGAGCCTTATTTTTTGCAATCTTTTTTGCTGGTGGAGGGTTTTGCCTTGATGTTGATCGCTGCTGACTGATCAGTGTGGTGGTTGTCAAAAGATGGAGTGGCTGTGGCAATTTCTCAAAGGACAAAGAAGCTTGCAGCATTGATTAACTGTGTCACAAAAGGTTTCTCTGCTATTTAATATCATTTAACCCACAGTACAGCTTTTTTCAAAATTTGAATCAATCCTCTCAAATTACTATTGCTTTGTAAATTAAGTTTATGGAATATTCTAAATCCTTTGTTGTCATTTCAACAATGTTCACAGAATCTTCATCACCTGTGGATTCTATGTCAAGAAACCACGTTTTTTGCTCATCCATAAGAAGCAACTCCTCATCTGTTCAAATTTTATCATGAGATTGCAGCAATTCATTCACATCTTCTGTCTCCACTTCTAATTCTGGTTTTCTTACTATTTCCAGTGTATCTGCAGTTACTTCTTCCACTGAAGTCTGAACCACCCGTAAGGGTTGAAATCAACTTCTTTCAAACTCCTCTTAAAAGTAATATTTTGGTCTTTACCTATGAATCACAAATATTCTCAATGGCATCTATAATGATGAATCCTTTCCAGGAGGTTTTCAACTTACTTTTCTAAGATCCATCAGATGAATCACTATCAATGGCAGCTATATACTTACGAAATCTATTTTCTTAAACAATAAGATGTGAAAGTAAATATTACTTTTTGATTCATGGGCTACAGAATGGATGTTGTGTTACCAGTCATAAAACAAAGATTAAATTCCACATGTATCTTCATCAGAGCTCTTGGGTGACCAGGTTCATTGTCAATTAAAAGTTGTATTTGGAAAGGAATCTTTCTTTATGAGCAGAAGTTTTCAACAGTGAGCTTGAAGTATTCAGTAAACCATACTATAATCAGATATACTATAATCCAGACTTAGTGTTCTATTTGTAAAACCCAGGCAGAGTAGATGTAGCATAATTTTTAAGGGCTCTAAAATTTTCAGAATGATAAACAAGCATTGGCTTCAACTGAAAATCACCAGCTGCATTAGCCACTAACAATAGAATCAGTGTGTCTTTTGAAGCTTTGAAGCCAGGCATTGACTTCTCTCCAGCTATGAAAGACCTAGACAATACCGTCTTCTAATATAAGGCTTTTTTGCCTACATTGAAAACCTGTTGTTTAGTGTAGCTCCCTTCATCAATGATCTTAGCCAGATCGACTGGATAACTTGCTGCAGCTTCTACATTAGCATTTGTTGCCTCACCTTTCACTTTTGTAATACAGAGATGATTTCTTTCCATAAACCTCATGAGGCAACCTCTGCTAGCTTCCAACTTTACTTCTGCAGCTTCCTCACCTCTCTCAGTCTTCTTAGCATTGAAGAGTTAGGCCTTGTTCTGGATTATTATTTGACTTAAGGGAATGCTATAGTTGCCTTCATATTCTGACCAGACTGACTTAAGGGAATGCTATAGTTGCCTTCATATTCTGACCAGACTCCTAAAACTTACTTTATGTCAGCAATAAGGCTATTTCACTTTCTTATCATTAGTGTGTTCACTGGAGTAGCACTTAATTTCCTTCAAGAACTTTTCCTTTGCTTTCATAACTTGGCTTTTTGGCACAAGCAGTTGAATTTTGGCCTATCTTGGCTTTCAACGTGCCTTCCTCACAAAGCTTAATCCTTTCTAGTTTTTTATTTCAAGTGAGAAACATGCAATTCTTCCTTTCACTTGAACACTTAGAGACCGTGGTAGGACTATATATATATATATATATATACACACACACATACACATATACATATACATACACACACACAATTATAATCATATATAAAATATGGCTATAATTTAGCATTGTTTGAAGAGATAATAAAAGGTAATCAATGGGAAAAAACCTCATACCTTCTACAAATACAATATTTTCCCAAGGCCATATGAACATATCATGCCTAATGTCAATTATTGATATCCTGAATGCAAGAATCATATGCCATATGGACTCTGACTCCTGAACAACATGAAATTTCTGTTTCATTTCATATTATCTGAACTATTTTGAAATCACAAAGAAGTATTTAATTGACTAAATTATAAAGAAATAATATTAAAGCACATTCTGTACTTCATGAAATGAGTGGATTTGGTTAATTTGCATATTGAAACATTTATAACTTCATGGCAGACTAATATTCTTATTATCTTCTCTCTTTTGGTGATAATTTTATATTCTAGCTGACAAAAGACTTGACCATATGGTTTCTTTAGCTAATGGAATATGAAGGTAAATGATGTTTGCTACCCCTGGGCATACAAGCTTTAGAATTAAATTTGTTTTTCTTCTCACTTTGTGTCTCAAATTAAAGAATATGTGGAGCAGCTTAAAACATGTATTAATGTAGATAAATATATACCATATATTACATTATAAAATTATTTTACTTACAAGTGGATTAATAAGAAATAAAACAAGTATTCAGATTCTGTAATTGGCTACTGGACTGTGTCTTCATAAACACATCTAATAATGTATATATTTAAATTACAAGTATGAGAAGTTTGACATATTATTGGACTACAGACTTCATTGGGTTGGGTTTTGATTAATTTCCTCTTTGCAACATTCCAACTCTTAATAGATATGTAGCCTGATTAAATTTTTATTGTTTTAAGTCCCTGAGATTTTGATTGTATTTTATTATAGAGAAACCGAAGCTGTTGTGAGTTATAGTCATGGTTATGTATTCTTTCTTCTCAACTTTTCCCTCATGGATCTAGCATTCTCATGTTCCTTAATTAAGTAATTTATCAATGAATACTAAGTACAAGATTTGTCTAGTGTTAAATACCCTAATAAAAAACCTCCACTTTTAAGGATGAAGGAACTTCACTAATGGTGAGGGTGCCTTAAGTCTGCATGAAGAGTGTAAACATGTACTTAGTAATTCGTAACTGTTTGTTGTGTATCATAACTCCAAATCATAACTGTTAGTCACTAAATGATGGTTTCATGTTGGCTACCTAAATCTGATTTGCATATTTCTGATAACTTATTTGTTTTATATTTAGAAAAATTTTAAGTACATACCAAGTGAAAGTTGCTAAAATATTCTGTATTATGCACATTATTTTAACAAACCCTCATACAGCCCTATAAAGTAAGTATACTGCATCTATTAAACACATTTTAGAGATGATGACACTGATTTTGCTAGTTTCCTTTTTATTTTTAATCAGAATATCATGCATTACGCTAATACTCATAATAATTCTACCAAGTCATTCAAAACTCTGTTTTCTGCTGGACTATGAGCTTCAATTGGACAGGTCCTAACAATTTAAGTGTTGCTATTTGCTGCATGAATGAATGAATTGGAAAGATAACCAACTTGCCAAATGTGCACAGATTTTTAAGTTGTATATAATAGGATTGAAACTTGGTCTGTCTGACTCAATCTACCTTCTATATTTCTACCTTTAGTACCTTCTTTTCTTGAGCATTAGATATTGGCGTACTGATCATGCTTTTGTAACAGAGTTAGATATCAGGCCACCTCCCTGCATGGTGTCTATCTAAGCTGAAATAGAGAGGCTGTGCATACTGAATTACTCAAAATAGATAATCACTGTCTCTTTACATTTGTGGCACATATACACCATGGACTACTATGCAGCCATAAAAATGATGAGTTCATGTCCTTTGTAGGGACATGGATGAAATTGGAAATCATCATTCTCAGTAAACTATCGCAAGAACAAAAAACCAAACACCGCATATTCTCACTCATAGGTGGGAATTGAACAATGAGATCACATGGACACAGGAAGGGGAACATCACACTCTGGGGACTGCTGTGGGGTGGGGGGAGGGGGGAGGGATAGCATTGGGAGATATACCTAATGCTAGATGACGAGTTAGTGGGTGCAGCGCACCAGCGTGGCACATGTATACCTATGTAACTAATCTGCACAATGTGCACACGTACCCTAAAACTTAAAGTATAATAATAAAAGAAAAAAAATAAATAAATTTAAAAAAATACATTTCTATTATTTTAAATGAGCATGCATTCTTCTAAATTTCATATTGACAAACTGTATAAATTTATTTATGTTAATTTCTTGGTAATGTAAGGCAACATAATAGCTATCAATAAGTATGCACTTCTTGATTTAAAAAATATCTTAACCCAAATAAATTTATTTTAAAGGAGAATTTGAGAACCACATGGACTATATGGTTTTTGAAAATAGAATTTGCAAATTATCTTGAAAGCATACTACAAGTAAAAGTACATACTTTATTTTGTTTTTTTTTATTTGGTTCCTCTAATTATCATGTCTGATATGAGAGAAGAAACTATATATTTGTAAATTTCTTATTCTGTTTCTTGTTTTTTTACTTTATCTCAAAACTGTGTTGCTGCAGCGTACAATTTTGTGACTGTTGTTTATGATTTTAAATAAATACGAATATATTTTAAAATAAAATATTGAATTTAAGATATTAGCTTTTCATGTGAAACTTCTGATTTTTAAACACTATCACTATCTTTTTATATTTACAATGTACAGGTTTTTGCATGGAAAGTAGCATTTATTTCATCATTTGCACTTGCAAATTCTAACCTAGTTTCTTTAGTACTAAGGATTACATCATTGGCAAAGGTTTTATATGAAGTCTAATCATATTTAGCTTAATTTCAAATTCCAAATGCAATTGTAAAATATATATTGATATTACAATATTAACATAGAGAAATATAACACATATCACTTATACTATACTAGAAAGTTATTTTTACTCATAAGTAGATTAATAAGGAATAAGACAGAGGCATTCAGACTCTGCAATCCAATATTGGCCTGTATCTTCATAAACCCATATAAGAACATATGTAGTTAATTTAGAGGTATGACAAATCTGACACATTACTGGAATACAACTTTCACTGGCTTAGGGTTTGATTGATTTTTCTCTCTGCAGTTTCCCCCAAAAAGGTATATGAAATATAGATGCTCAATAAATTTTTATTGATGTAATGAACAAAATGGGTGTGTGCTTAAGAAAGTTGTTGTATGTAGCAATCAGGTTCCCCTGTACAGAGAGGGAAAAAAAAAGTCTTCAAGACACTGAAATTAAGAAAAATTAAAACATAAAGGTGAAAAGAAGAATTTAAAATTCAAGAAGTCGTAATATTTGTTGTGAAATTTGAGCTTGGAGTGTAAGCAGAAAGAAGCTGAAGCCAAAGAGACAACATCTAAATGATACTTGTAAGTGAATGTCATAAGTAGGGTCCCAAGGCAAAAACCAAGAGTGAAGCATTAGACTGAGGTAGTCAGCTATGTAAAAATAAAAGGAGTGAAATGTAAGCCAAAACAAAGAATACTGCAAAATCCTTAAGAATGCATTAAAAATTCTAAAGATTAAAAGGCAGAATCAGAATCAAGTTGGGAGTCAGGGCAAGCTTATGAGATAGAGATGATGCTGGGATAAGAACAGTCCAGGAAAAAATGAGAAATGCATAGGTTAAATGCCAAAAATACCATGGGAGGTTTCATAATTTGCCAATAGGGATTGTTAAGGTAGTAAAGGTCAGATATAAAGGACTGCATGATGAACTATTTCGTGGCAAAACTGTGGAATTTTGACTTATCTGAAAGACCATCGGGAGCTGCTGGAGAAAATTTAGCTGGAGGGTGATATGTTTATACTTGCATTTTGTAAAGGCCACTCTGATAGCAGTGCAAAACATGTAATTGAAAATGGCAATAAACTTGGAGAACAGAATTAAGACTTTCTTGGAGTATTCAAACTTTTTTAATAAACAAAACACTATTAATAACCAGATTGATATACAAAACGTAATCTTTAAAAAGCACAAGAAATTCTGCTATAGAAATCAAATCAATTCTTTTCAGTATAAGCAATTACTTTGTGTATTTAAAACCAGTAACGAATATAATAAACTTGTTATATCTTTGTCTTACCCTAGCTTTAACTCTGATTTACAAGTTACTTTCAAGCTGTATATAAAATTAATATTATGAAAGGTTATCTAAGTACTTATATGGAATTTGTTCCACAGATATTTAAGCCCTTGGACTATACATACAATTCCAACTATACTTAAATAATTGAAGTGGTAATGACTCAAAAACCCTTATGAATACACAGCTCCATCTTGAAAGTGATTGAGGTTTTTCTTATATTAACACAAACATTCCCTCCTTTTTTCTTTTACTCATTGTTTCAATTCTTGTGCTAGGGTTCAAAAATGTTACTTAACAAATGAATCTGCTATTGATTTCCTTAAAAATATTTTTATCTATTTTATTTTAAAAAATACCTACCATTTAACAAGCACATAGGTGACCTGTATATTTAAGCATTTCTGCAATAATTGTTAGTACAATGCATAAAGTTAAAAGAAGGAATAATGAAATTAAGTGGTAAAAAGCATTTATTTCATGTCTGTATGTTTAACAAGTAGTAATATTTTCTTAAGGAGCTTTGTGGTGGACAAATAACACTCCTGGCTGATCTCAACAAATCTTAACTAGAAGTCTTTTACATTCACCTATCCTTCAAATCTTTAAGGAAATGCGATATTATAATATGTTCCACTCAGATAAGAAGCTGGTATAATCCATTTTCCTTGAGCTATTTATGTAAAATATCAGAATATAGATCCTACTGTTCAAAGATAATACTTTACTACTTTTTAAAAAAATGTCTAAACAAAATAACAACAAAAGCTTCAGCCCTGATGTGGTTTGGATGTTTTATCCCCTTCAAATCTCATCTTGAAATGTAATCCCCAATGTTAAAGGTGGGGCCTGGTGGGAGGTGTTTTGATCATGGGAATGGATACCTCATGAATGGCTTGTTGCCATCCTTGTGGTAATAAGGGAGTTCCCTCTCTGAGTTAATGCAAGATATGCTTGCTTCAAAGAGTCTGGGACCTCCCTCTACTCTCTCTCTCTTGCTCCTGCTTTTGCCAGGTGATGTACTTGCTCCCCGCTCACCTTCTGCCATAATCGCAAGCATACAAAGAGCAGATGTTATTCCTTTATAGCTATAACAAAAGCTTACCAACACAGAAAATTGGTACCCAGAGTGGGGTGTTTATATAAGGTATTTGAAAATGTGGAAGCAGCTTTGGAACTGGGTAATGGGAAGAGGTTGGAAGAGTTTAGAGGGCTCAGAAGACATGAAGATGAGGGAAACTTTTAAACTTCTTAGAGACTTATTAAATGGTTGTGACCAAAATTCTGAGAGAGAAACAGTGAAATCCAGGCTGGCAAGGTCTCTGATGGAAATGAGGAAGTTAATGGGATCTGAAATAAAGGTCGTATGTGTTATGACCTAGCAAAGTTTGACTGCATTCTGTCCACATCCCAGCCGATATGGTTTGGATCTCTGTCCTTGCCGCAATCTCCTGGCAAATTTTAATCCCCAGTGTTGGAGGTAGGGCCTGATGGAGGGTAATTAGATCATGGAGGTGGTTTCTAATGGTTTAGCACTGTCCTTCTAGTGTTGTTCTTGTGATAGAGTTCTCATAAGGTCTGGTTGCCTGAAAGTGTTTATCTCTCTTTTGCTCCTTCTCCATCATGTAAGACACCTGGCTCCCCATTCAGCTTTGTGAGGCATCTACAGAAGAGGAGCAGATACCTCCATGCCTTCCTTTCAGCCTGCATAACCAGGAGTCAATTAACTCTTTCCTTTATAAATTACGCAGTCTCAGGTATTTTTTTATAGCAATGCAATAACAGACTAATATATCAGAGATCTGTGAGAGGTTGAAGTTAAGAATTATTATGTAGGGTACACGGCAGAAGAAATTCTAAGCAGTTAGCCAGGTGCAGTGGCTTAAGCCTGTAATCCCAGCACTTTGGGAGGCCAAGGTGGGAGAATCACCTGAGGTTGGGAGTTTGAAACCAGACTGACCAACATGGAGAAACTCCATCTCTACTAAAAATACAAAAAATTAGCCAGGTGTGGTGGTGCATGCCTATAATCCCAGCTACTCGGGAGGCTAAGGCAAGAGAATCGCTTGAAACCAGGAGGCGGAGGTTGCCGTGAGGTGAGATCGCGCCATTGCACTCCAACATGGGCAACAAGAGTGAAACTCCATCTCAAAAAAAAAAAAAAAAGAAAAGAAAAGAAATTCTAAGCAGCAAAGCATGCAAGAAACATGACAGCTTCTAACAGCCTATGATCAGATATGAGAGCAAAGGAATGACTTAAATTTGAAATTTATATTTAAAAGAAAAGCATCACGTAAAGGTTTGGAAAATTTGTAACCTAGCTGTGTGGTAGAGAAGGAACAAGTCTATTTAGGACAGGAACACAAATGGACTGTAGAGCAACAACTTGTTAGAGTTATTTGCATGACTAAAAAGAAGTCAAGTGCTAATATCCAAGACAATGGGAAAAATACCTCAAAGGCATTTTAGAAATCTTTGAGGCAGCCCCTCTCATCACAGGCTCAGAGGACTAGAAGCACTAAATGATTTGGGGAGCCACTCCAGGGCTCCACTTCTCTGTGCATCCTCAGGACACTGTTCTCTGCACACTGACCACTCCATCTCCAGCCTTTGCTCAAAGGAGCCCAGATATATCTTGGGCCACCACTCCACAGGGCACAAGCAATGAGCCTTGGAAGTTTCCATATGATGTTAAGCCTGCAGATACATAAAATGCAAGAGTGAAGAAGGCTTGATAGTTTCCACTAAGAATTCACAGGCTATATAGAAAAGCCTCTGTGGCCAGGCAGAAGCCTGCTGCAGGGATGGAGAACCTCCTAATAGCTGCTCCTAGGGCAATGCTGAGGGGAAATGTGAGTTGGAGCCCTCACATGGAGTTCCCACTAGACTACTGTCTAGTGAATCTGTAGGAACAAGGCCACTACCTCTTAGATCCCAGCATGTTACAGCCACTAGCAGCTTGCAACATCAGAATGGAAAAATCACAGGCACAGGACACCAACCCTTGAGAACAGCCATGAGAGCTGCACCCTGTAAAGTCATGGGGCAGAGCTGCCTAAATCCTTGGGAGCCCATCTCTTGCACCAGGGTGCCCTGAATGTAGAACAGGGAGTCAAGGATTACTTTGGAGCTTTAGGATTTAATATCTACCCTGCTGGAATTTGAACTTCTTTGAGGCCTGTTGCCTATTTCATTTGGCTGATTTATTCCTTCAGAATGAGAATGTTACCCAATGCCTGTGTCACAATTGTATCTTGGAATAAATAACCTGTTTTTGATCTTACATGCTCACAAGTAAAAGGAACTTGCCTTGAGTCTCAAATGAGATTGGACTTTTTGAGTTGATGCTGAAATTAGTTAAGACTTTGGGAGACTATTGGGAAGGGATGATTGTGTTTTGCACTGTGAGAAGAACATAAAATTTGGGAAGCCAGGGGCAGAATGATACATATTGGATGTTTTGTCCCTTCCAAATCTCTCACATTGAAATGTAATCTCCAATGTTGAAGGTGGTGCCTCGTGGAGGTGTTTTGATCATGGGGTCAGATCTCTCATGAATGGTTAGGTGCCATCCTTGTGGTAATGAGAAAGTCTTCACTCTAAGTTTATGCAAGATCTGCTTGTTTAAAAGAGTCTAGGACCTTGCCCTTCTCTCTCTTGCCTCTGTTTTCACCATGTGGCATGATGACATGTTTGCCTTTGGCCATGATTATAAGCTTCCTCAGGCCTTCACAAGAAGCAGATGCTGCACTTTGTACCATGCTTCCTGTGCAGCCTGCTGAACTGTGAGCCAATTAAACTTCTGTTCCTTACAAATTACCCAGCCTCAGGTATTCCTTTATAGCAACACAGAAATGTACTAACATAATTCCAATTTAAGACAATAGCTCCATTTTCCATAGGTGTAACTAATCTGTAAACTAAAAAGTGACTGGGGAAGATCTCAATCAATTTAGAGGTTTATTTTGCCAAGGTTGAGGATACACCTGGTTGGGGGAAAACACAAGTTACTAGGATCTATGTCTTGTGCTTGTTGCAAAGAATGTTTTGGGAAATTTAATAATTAAAAATTGAAGAGCAAGTGGAAGGGGAAGAAAAATTGGGGGGCGGTAAGTTGGTAGGCAATGGGGCAAGTTGTTACTTTCTTGTGAAGCTCTGATTAGCACCCAGTGAATCTACATTTTACACATGAAAAGAAAGGAGTGGAGGGTCAATTACGCATGTCTCTTGCACTCAATAAAACTACATTTTACATAAGATAAAGTAAGCATGTGAAATTACAGCTATCTGCTTGGGAATAAAAGAAACGCTGTTTTTGCGTGACTGTTTCCAAGCTGAACTTTTCCCTTTGGCAAAATGTAGTGTGTCTGTGGTCCCAAGATTTTATTTTCCTTTCACAATGCAAAATAAACCTATGAAAGCATATTAAGATATATCTGCTATTATAATATAAATGAAATATTGTGTATAGATATGATTATTTTACCTCTTGTTTTTATCTTTCATTCAACTATTAGAAATTTTATTGCATATCGTAGAAAGAAGAAAAGGTCTCATGTTTAAAGCTAAAAATTAGAATTATTATCATACTTTTCCATAGAATTAATGTGCTGATTTGTTGGAGATGCTGTTAAAGATGCAGTGAGACCTTTGTGAATGTGTTGTTAAATAAGGCCGTAGATTGTTAATTACTTTTGCCTCCGGTGGAAGAGGCCATAATTGTCTACTTTGAAACATTTCTTAGAAGTTCACATTTATGAAACTCAATTCACTCTTCAATAGAAATCTAAAGTAAATTAAAACTATCTCATTTAAAAATACAATATGCATAGTTTTGTTTCTTTTCTCCAAAAGAGCTTTTAATATATTATTTTATTCAGTGATAAAGGTGATGGTAGGGTAATGAAACAATTGTGACTTAATGAAAAGCCGTGAACAACTTTTTTAATGCTTCAGAGTATTTTCTGTTTTCAACAGTATAACTTACAGAAAGTGTTCTTGTAATTTAGTGATTAGCATGAATTAATAATGAATTTAATAAGCACTTAAAATAAAGATGTGACATTTTAGACCTGCAATTGAATTGTAGTGCATTAATAATTAAGTAATACATTTTGCTCTTGAATATGAAATCCCAAATATATTTTGCTATTTTAGGACACATTTTGAACTAAACATTTAAGATTGTGAATTATCTGTATATCACTTGCACTGACCAAAGTAGAAAGGAAATAATAACTTTATTATCAAATTTGAGGACCATTGAGACTATGATAAAATTTTCTTCCTGCTACTGCCTCATAATATTTCAAGAGACATATTCTTCAAAGACGCATTCTGCTTTCTTAAACACTATAGGTTGTACAAATTAAAAAAATTATTTTATTTTAAAATAATTTTTAATACAACTATTTATTTATAAAATAATAGTTCACAATACAACAAGAATTTATAATGCTGTAATGAATTTGCCTACCACATTGGTCCTCTATTAAGAAAGTCAAGGACCTCCACACCTTTAAAGAAATTAAGAGTAGAATTTAGTGGGATCTGCTGGGTACAATCAACGCATCAAAAACAGGAAAAGAAAGACTAAAGATGATTACCAAATGAAGTTGAAGTGTAGAATTCAGAGAACCTCTCTGGCAAAATACCAAGGGACAGTTATCTCCCGGAGAAGGAAGACATAGAAGCTAAAGGTTGATGCAGTAAATATCAATACAGGGTTGAATTCTAAACCCTGTTAAGTCTACCATGACTAACTTAGACTCCAGGTGGGTTCATCTGCTTTTCCATTTTCTATCTTTGGATTGGATCATATAGATCATTTGCACTTAGGGTAATGATTCATATGTTAGTGCTTAAGTCTGATCTTGTATTGTCTTCTGTTTGTTTCCTTTTGTTATCTTTCTCCGGTTTCTCCTTCCTTGCCTTCTGTGGGTTACTTAAAAACTTTTGCCACAGATTTTACCTTGATTTACTTAACAGAGTTTTTTAATGTATCTATTTGTTTAGTGTTTCTTTAGTTTCTCTGGGTATTACAATGTACATATGTGACTCATCACAGTCTACTGAGAGTTTATTATTTCAAGTGAAAGAATAAGGCAAAAATATTTAAAGGTCGGTAAGGTAGAGAGACCTTTATCTAAATGGAAGTTAGGTCTCTTTAACTTACCCACTTTCAAATATTATTGTCTTTGGTATCAGATGATGTTTTCATTTTGTTTTAATCAATAGTATATAAGATATAAAATTCATGAGGACAAAAAATAATCCATTTTATATACAAATATCTCTGCTTTTGCATTGTTTATTATTACTTTCTGATAATACAAAATTGTTTTATCATTTACTTTTTTTCTTAAATAAGTCTCCTCAGTCAGTTTTAAGGATAGTTCTGCCAGTGACAAATTTATTTTATTTTCCTTTGCTTTCTTCTTCACTCTTGAAGAATAGTTTTCCTGGACGTAGAATCACAGTTCATAGTTTTCTTTCTTGCACAACTTGAAAAATATTATTTAAGTTCTTCTGGCCTCCATTGTTTCAGATAAGAAACTCATTGACATTTGAATTGGAGTTCTCTTTTCACTTATAATCTACTATCTCTGAGTGAATTGATATTGTCTTACAGGCTATTCATTCTTTCTCTTAAATTGCTTTTAAGACCATTTCTTTTTCTTTATTAATCAAGTTTAATTATAATACGTCCTGGCATTCACTTATTTGGATTTATCATGTTGGGATCACTTAGCTCCTTGAATCTGTAGATTTGTATATTCTATTCTATTTGGGAAGTTTTCAGCCATTATTTCTTTGAACACTCTTTCAATCTCATGCTCTTTCTCCTAGCCTCTTGGATCCTGATTAAAAAAACATATAATATTTTGTTATTACATAGGTTCCTAAGTCTCTATTCACTATTTTTTTACAGCCTATTTTCTCTCTGTTGTGCTGATTGGCTTAGTTTTATGGATCTGTTTTCAAGTTCACTGATTCTATTCTCTGTCATCTTCACTCCACTAGATAATTTTAACTGATTCATCTCAGCATTTGTGTCAGATAATTGGCTTGTTTCATGGCAGTTGTGATTTTTTTGGTTCTTGGCATGATGGATGCTTTTCTATGTATACTCAACATATTTTTCTGTTAGAAGACATTGGGCCCAATTTAAATATGGTATTTTAGGAAGCAGTCATCCTGTTTAATTTTAGCAGACAGGCTGTGGCCTACTTCTGTACGCTATTGCTCTGTGCTGAGCAGGTATATTCAGACCTACCCCCAAAGGCTGAGGGAGCTGAAAGGTTGAAGGAAGAGGCTGCCAAACTTGGTTCTCAGAAAGAAACATTTGATAGTGACTTACAAACATAAAAGATGTCTCAGGCAGTTGTGATATAATTCATCCCTACACCCACACCCCCCCCTCAATTCCAAAAATGTCTTTTATATAATAAGTTCTTTGCTAAAACATGTGTAGCTAGTCATGCCTCGGACTTTCTTGAAAAACTCATGACCATTAGAGAGGTTAGATGAGCATCTTTATGAGGTATTATCTATTGTATAGGCATTGCTTCTTTAAGAGGGGTTATCTATGCTATGAGAACGTCTTGTTAGGCATGAGTCAACCATCAGTCATTATGGCGATTTTACCTCAAGATGACATCATTCTTGCCATGAAACAGGCTGTCTTCCCACAGTTATGGTTCCAAGACAGTTTAACTTACAGAGTTGTTGTGATGTTATTTTGCTCTCCTTGGTTTATCTGACAATGCTAGGTTTGTGACTAACCTCTACTGGTTTTGCTTATGGGACAGAAGGGGTTCCCACAGGCTGGGTCTCATCAGATGTAGATGTCACTCAGTGTTGGAGGGTAATCTGAGGCCTGATGTCTAAGAGACTTTCTAGGATTGGCTGCTTGTTTTCATCCTGGGTCTGTCTTGCTGCCTCAGCCCATCCACCGAACTGTTTCTGGGTGTGAGAGGAAATTCTTAGGGCCACATTTGCTGGGCTGAGCCAATTGCTGTGGCTGAGCATCTCTCACTTGGTCTATTCACCTATTTCTGTGTCTCTCGGCAGAAAAGGGGATCCTCAGGCCAGGTTATGAAAAGAGTTCTTCTTTCGGCCACTTATTTTTGGCAAATCTCTCCATTAATCCTCTCTTCAGATCATATTAGCATATCTAATGTTGTCAAAGGAATCCTGCTTCATCCAGGAGAGGAATGAGCCTCTCTAGGCCTTTTGTTTCCTATGTTCTGGGTCAAGAAACAATAAAGGTATTCAGCCTTCTGTTGGGTGTGAGTATATATGACAGCCTGGTGTTCTATTGTTCTTGCAGTCCTGGGGTAAAAACATCAGTTTTTATTTTTACCATCTTCAGAGTTCTCCTTTGGTTCACTATAGTTGTGCTTATGAAGTAGATGTGGAGAAGAGCAGGGAAAACATATCTACACCAACTTTTGAAGACTGAGAGTCCTCCATTAATGTTCAACGACATGTAATTTTTTTTAACAAAGAAAGATGTGCTTGCCTAGAATATGAGTCATATTCAAAAGAGTGAAAACACTAAGCATAGAATAGTTTTCTCCTGGACGCCTCTTATGTAAAATAAAATACATCCCTCTGTGATATACAGCAAATTATGCTATTTAAAAATGCTTTACAACACATTTCCCTATCATCATTACATAGACCCAATAAGGTGAGTGAATATTTCAATCCAAGTACCGGCCACCTAAAGAAATGCAGAAAACTCTAATTTCAAAGTTTAGATGATATTTAAAAGTATTTCGGTTGCAATTTTCTATCATCTAAGGCTTTAGATGTTCTCAGGTTTATCTCTGGAGATTGCACAATGACATTATTAGCTATTGTCAATGCCTAATAATAATAGGTCCATCTGTCTTATTTCATCTCAGTGACAATAGAAAACTAAGCTGCAGGCCAAGCATGGTGGCTCAAGCCTGTAATCTCAGCACTTTGGGAGGCCAAGGCAGTTCGATCGGGAGGCTGAGGCAGTTGGATCATGAGGCCAGGAGATCAAGACCATCCTGACTAACACGGTGAAACCTCGTCTCTACTAAAAATACAAAAAATTAGCCAGGCATGGTGGCAGGCGTCTGTAGTCCCAGCTACTCAGGAGGCTGAGGTAGGAGAACGGCATGAACCCGGGAGGCAGAGCTTGCAGTGAGCAGAGACTGCACCACTGCACTCTAGCCTGAGCGACAGAGCGAGACTCCGTCTCAAAAAAAAAAAAAAAAAAAAGAAAATTAAGCTGCAACTGAATATGCAGCAACATAAATTTGTCCACTGAAGTTAAAAGCCGCTGCTAACTGGAGAGAAAAACAACAACAACAACACCTCTTTGCCATAGGAAAGTTTAAGCTATGAGGGATATGTGAGCCAGATGACAGAACACAGAGGATTAAAGGACATCTGTGTCTGTGTCAAAAAGAGATATTGCTATGCCAAAGCTATGGCTCTGCTTATAATGTTTGTTATCTGAATATTAAATGTATTAATGCTTCAAATGAAAAAGCACAATTGCCAATCCTAAACTAAGATTACATTAGTACAGTGTTTGAAAATGGGTCAGGAAATTTAGAGTGGTAACAGGCCTTAGATTTTGAAATTTGCTGTTTAGCTTCTGTATTCAGCTTCTCCTGCCACCACCTGGAATGAAGTAGTCCCTTTTATATCCAAAAGAAGTGAAGGAATAAAGTTCAACCAGACTTCATTGAAAAATTGCATACATATGCCTATGAAATTCAGAGACAGATGAAGTTTCTCAAACACTGTCTCCGGCAATCTTGGCAAATAAGAGTAAAGAAAAAGAACATATTCCACTTGGAAACCTAAGGTGTAACATAAACATCCACCTGCCTAAAGTAGTTTATAGAATGCCTCTGCCAATGGAATGGTCAAGGTAACCTTGGTGTTTATTCTAGTTCAATAGTTTCTGGCTCTTCAGCAAAACAGAAGATGAGGCAGGGATCAAAATTCAGAATGCTGAGGCAAACATTCCATGAGGCTTACTCTGAAATTTCCCTGGAGAAACACCACCTGTCCATGTCTGAATTGTACTGGAAGCTTGTTATATCTCTTCCTTACTTGTTCATCATGTGCATTTCACATTTTCCTCAAAGTCATGGCAAGATACGGTCTACGACAAGGTGTTATACATGCACAGCTACCTTATAACAATTAGTCTAAATTAACATATTAAATAGTTCCCTATGTACATGCTTGTATTCATGTTGAACTTGCAATATTTCTTGGTACTCGAATAATGTGAAATGACTTCCCTGGAACCAATATTTCTATAATGTTCCCAAGTTCCTCTAGTGCCCTCAGGGACATGAGCCATGAGGCTTAGAAGCCAATGCAATGGGGCTACAGCCTGCTGGCCAGCAGCCTGAGACTGTGCGCACTGCCAGCTAGCTTACCCCAGGCCAGCTGGCAGAATATGATGCGAGGACAGATGCATCTTATAAGTGGACATCTGTGGAAAGACTATACTCTGGACCTTCCAGGCTGGCCTGGAATCAAAGGGACCATTCTTCTGCCTTGATTATGGGAAGTACAACCTAACCAAAGAGGTGATACCTAATACCTACTTCACAACAAAAAGACAGACTACACCGAAGGTAGAGATATTACAAGGACCAAATTACAATCTCTTAACATTATGATTTTAAGAAACAAACAAAAAAACCCTCCTATTCGAATAGTGGTTTTGTTTGGCCATTAGTTGGTGTATAAATTCAAAGTAATAATTAACTGCAGAAAATGTGACTTTTATCATTTTATTTCCCCAAAGAGTAAAGTTCTATGTGAGTATTTAAACACATTTTCTGTGAGTACAGACATGTATGTATGTTTGTATATATGAATACAATCATATGAACACATATACACATATGTGCATGTGTGTACATATAAACATATATACATGCATACATATACACATGTGTATGTGTGTACATATATAGACAGACAATATACCAAAAATTTTATGGAGGAAAATACCAGTTTGTTTAAGTTTTTAAGTTTTAACCATGCATGGGTAAAAACCTGTAATGACATTGCGGGATAGAACTTTCAAAAGGCTTTCTCCATGAAAGATTGATTATATTCCTGTGAGAGATTTGTCTTAGTAAATTGTCAGCAACAAGACAACTAGGTTTCATAGTAGAGTTCTGCTTGATGTTTCCACAGAACACCAAATCTCGCAATATAGTTAGGTAACACAAACACACATGCACACACAAACACACACAGATATACATCATCCTGTGATAAAATAAGCATAAAATAAAATGGATCAAACGAAGCAATGTCTTATTCCCTCATTGCAACATTTTACAGAGGTTCTTATAGCATGTGTTTGTGTGTGTGTTTGGTATAGTGAATGTTCATGATAATGCTTAAATATGCCATATTTTCCCTAATTCATTTGGTTGAGAATATGACAGAAAATTTAGCAAATACTGTCCTGATCAACAGAGGATGCAATGAGCCTTATTGTGTGATGTTTCAAAATTAAATATAATTTAATTTTGCCTCAATCTTATAAATACTTACATTAAAGTACAGATTATGAGAGAAAGAAGCAGTGAGAGAAGAGCAAGAGAAGATAAAGGACTGTTCCTAGAGCCATTTGACATTGCAGCATAAGCAATAGTACTAACACTGCTTGGCCCTATGTTGCTAAGTTTAGCACCTCCTATGAAATACAGCTCCACTTCAGAACAGTGAAGACTCCAGAGAGCATTATGTCCTTAGCACCTAAAAAATTAGTACTCTAGTGGAATGCCTAGTGAAAGCTGGTAGCACCCAATAGCATTGGTGTCTTTGTTCACCATACAGTTGGATACCGAAGAGGGTGCATGTGGACCCAGATGCAGTCACGCCCAGCAGGCCATTTACTGGTCCTTAGCAGAAGTGTTAGTGTATGAAGGCAAGGACAAGCACTGGTAGCTAGCAAGCAACTGCAATGGCACCCAGGAACATACAATGCTTCATAAGAGGCACCATTGCTCTGCAAAAAGGTTGGAAGACATCTCCATAACCAATGAAATGGTCAGTCTTCCTGAGATTGGTGATACCTTGTGGATGTAATGCCATCTACCTTCAGGATCAACCAGGGCACAGGAGGTGATGCTGCCTGTCAAAAACAGTAGTATCCATGAACAGCAGCAGTAGTCCACAGCAGATGTTTCAGGGACAATCAGACATGAGTGCTCAGCAAAGTGGATCTTGTCCAAGTAGATGAATAGTTTCATTTGTGGTAGAATATAAGTTGCCTCCTGTGTGTCTGCGAACTACTCTGGGCTATTTGTCAGTGGAATAGAGTCTAACTCAGCAGATAAGCATATAATTTTATATGTCAAACTACAACAAACTGTTTTTCTCCAGTGAAATTTTATTTATTTCAGTGTAATATTAATAAGACACAATACAAAAATTGTGAGTATGAAAAAACTTCATAAAATATATCATGTTAATACAGAAATTGATTAATACAGAAGTATGAATAACTGAAATAACAGAGAAAGTTGGTATTAATATAATTCTGTCTGAAAATTATAATTTATTATGCATATAGGGAGAAAAATTCCCTCAGATAAGTAATATTTGACAATAGCATAGTATAGTAAAACATTCTTATTTTTAAAATTTGTGCAGCTTTTCTCTACTGTTTGTCTGCACCAAAATATATTTGGAACAGCAGAACAGGAATGTGTTCATGGATTTAAGAAACATTTCAAACATTAATTTAGAACTTACTGCATCTGAAGCTACTACCTGCCTTTCCCTGGGGAGAAAAAGTTTAACAATACATAGTCCATGTATGCCAGAATCTCAAAGAATAGCAGAATTGTCAAGCAGGGAGAAGGAGAAAGAAGCATAAACAAGCCATGATTATGCATTTTGATAGGTTCCATGGTAGATATATGTACAGATTACTCTCAGAGGGAGGAAAACTAATCTCTCCAAGGGTACTAGGGAAAACATCAGAGAAGGGCGATGTTAATGCTGAGTCCTAAAGGGTAATTAGAAATCTTCCCAGCAGAGAACATGAATGTGAAGTAAGCCAAGCAGTGGGAACATTGCATAAAGGCATATTTTGTTGAAGAGCACAAGACATTCAGGGAATTCTAATGGATTTTGGCTATGTCCAAAAGATAGAGAGGGAGGAGGAAGTGCTATTTCTCATTACTATAGTAAATGAGAAATGACATCTAGTTAAAAATATCTTCATATTTAAGTAAAAAAGTGGTTACAGGATTATTGTAAAATATCAGGTAAGAAATTATGAAGGTCTGAAACAAAGTAGTGGGCATGTGTAAAGAAGGTAGATTCTAGGTAAATGGATGAAGCAGAATATGTAGATGACATTAATGATTCGTTGATAGTTTAGAGACAATGAAGAGGGAACTATGATGATCCTCATATTTTAGCTGAGTGCCTGGAATAACTTCCTTAACAAATAGCAAATTCCAGAAAAAAATACATTTGAAATAAAAATATGAGTTCATTTTTGGACATACTAAGTTTGATGTTTCTTGATTCAATGCCTTTGGTTGCACTAAGAATATGTGCAAATCATAAATAGACAACAGTAATTCAAACGGTTTGTGGACACTAGAAAAATAAGTTTTAAAATCATCTGAAAAGGTAGATGATTGATAGATAAATAAATAGTCATTGATAATACAGAAAAACAGGGAACAAGTGAAACACAGAAGAGTTTGGCAGCAACATTTTTGATTCTCTCTTCCTCTTTTTAATCCTGCCTTCTTCCAAGTTGTGTTTGGATAATCCCGCTCTCTTCTTGATGGCCATGTACTTTCCCATGTAGTAATGAATGTAGCAATTAGCATCTGGTACATTTCTAATGAATTATAATGGAAGAGAATCGGTGTGTGTTAGGACGGGAGTGGGGAGTTCAATTTTTTTCTGTATGTGTTATTAGTATTATGTAAGGAGGCATAGATTAATGTCCCAAAACTCATGCATTTATTAAGAAAATATTATACTGTTTATGGTTTATTCTTTATGCTATACATGGGATCAGTGGTTGTTATAAAACGTGAATGAATATATTATCTTCTCTATCCTAATAACTCAAAATCCAGTAAGAGAAAAAATTTATGTTCAAATAATTGTGATACTATAAAAATCAATGGTAAAATAAAGGATAAGGGGAGTTACCTATTGGGTATTTTACAAATAATATCTCATTTAATTTTTAATTTATATTTTTATACAGGTAGACAACAAAACTTGTCAATGTGGGTAATTTTCCCTAATTGAATCAGCTATTAAATTGAAATCTTGAAATTAAATTATAGCATTCTCTCTTGTCAAAAGTAAATAATTTAATTGATTCAAAAAATAACTTAAAGACTTTATTCAGTTGATGTACATGAGGGAGACCTGAATACGAGGTGTTCTGGTAAAAACAGTATTGGACTTTAATGAAGAGAGGAGGAGAGAGGGGTACTTGTTCTAGTGATATGATTCAGTTAACAGTTTTCATCTTTACCTGCTGGAAAAATGTTTTGATAATGGATATTAATTCAGTTTTCCATGATTCTTGGTTGGTGTCACTGGCATATTCCCAATCTGATAATTTACAGGACAGTCTTTTTGAGACCTTTTTTTCTTCTTTTTTTAATGATGGGAGATAGAGCAAGGGTTGTGGTTTATTACAGCTTAGAGGCAGCAAGGAGATGCTGAAAAAGAAACAGGCAGGGGACAGACATGAGAAATAGGAAAAGGAGGACAACGTTGAAGAGAAGAGAAACTGGACACCTTTTTTTATGTTTAATACTTTTGCAGTTTGATACCCAAATCTCTTTTCTATGACACTTCTCTTCCACAGTGTTTATACACTGGCATGTAGAATTTGTAGTGTCAATAGGGAAATAGTACCAAATAACGGCTTGAGAAAGAGGGGACAAGAGGGGACAAGCTTTATAGATGAGATGTCATGGGGTTTAATGCTATGGAGATAAGTAGTCATTCATCAGTTAGACAAAGAGGAAGCATGGAAACATCAAAGAGCATGGTATTTGGGAAAAGAGTCAGAATCACAGGCAAAAATGACATAGGGTTGAATGACAGAAAATAAGCAGGAAATATTGCTTGAAATCATGAAAATAGAACATTACTGAAATAGAAATTTAAAATGCTTGGGAAGTAATAGTTTTATGATCATAATTAGATTTAGCATGGGACTTAAAATCCATTGCCCTAGGCAGGTAACAAAGTTTCAACAAATGTTTAAAAGGGATCTATTCCAGGGGCAAAGGGATCTGAAACCAGGGGTAAAGTTGAGCTGGAGACATAAGAAGGAATAGAAATAGCACATGGAGAAAGATTCAGTGAGAAGTTTATTAATTTAAATTCTGCCAGTGGTTGAAAGTGTTACTGAACTGAACCTCAGACCATTTGCCAGGCACAGCAAAGCTGAACACTAACACTGACGTTTGAGGTAAGAGAAAGAAGGCTTTATTGCAGGGTGCCAAGCAAGGAGAATCAGACAGCTAATACTAGACCTGCACTACCTGATGGCTTGCAAGCGTTTTTAAAGGCAGGGCTATGCTGCAAGCAAGCTGAAGTTACAGGCAAAATTGTAAATCAATACATGGAGGTTATAAGTTTATTTGGTCTAAAAAGGTAAAATATCTTGATGGGAGCTTACAGGTGATATATGGATTCAGAGATTCATTGATTTGCAACTGCCTAACAAAACAAGGCTTTGTCTAAAAACTTGGGGTTAGCAGAAAGGAACGTTAAGGTTTGTTCTGTGGACATGAATCTCTTTAGCTCCTCAGGAAGACATTTAGAACAAAAATGGCCATCAGAATTTAGTCCACATTTCCCCATTATCTGAGGTCTATGTGACAATGCTTGGTATCTTCCATCTGGATGAGGGTCTTGGTTTCTGCAATACAACTCAAGGAGATATGTCAAGATGTTATCATTAATTTACATAGGGAAAGTAACACCCTGTGACTCTGGCTTGTTTGGGGAGCTATTGTTTAAGTCACAATTACTATCTTTCTCAGAGGTTTACTTATTTACATCCTTAATTTCTGGTTGCAGGCCTAACTAGGTGCCTGGAGTCTCCCTTGTAGGGACTAAAAATTTTTCCTGTATCTCCATGCTGATGTGGGGGAGCTCAGGTGGTCCATAAGAGGGGTTCCTGTTTCATCTCAAGATATTCTTCATGTATATATGACAGACTGTGTGTGTGTATGTGTGTGTATTTATGTGTGTGTATATCTAGTGTTATTCATACACACACACACAATGTATGAGAGAGAGAGAGAGAGATAAACAGAGAGGCACTATTTTCCTTTACAATTATTATTATTATTATTTGAGATGGAGTTTTTGCTCTATTTCCCAGGCTGGCGTGCAGTGGCACAATCTCTGCTCACTGCCACCTGCTCCTCCTGCGTTCAACCAATTCTCCTGCCTCAGCCTCCCAAGTAGCTGGAATTACAGGCACCCACCACCACACCCGGCTAATGTTTGTATTTTTAGTAGAGATGAGGTTTCACCATGTTGGCCAGGCTGGTCTCGAACTCTTGACTTCAGGTGATCTGCCTGCCGTGGCCTCCCAAAATGTTAAGATCACAGGCATGAGCCACTGTGCCCGGCCTTCTTTACAATTATTAACACATTTTTCCAAGACTCCGTTTATTCCTTATTAGTACTTGCATTTTCAGTATTCTTTCCTTTCCAGAGAGCACTGAGGTGCTGAGGAGAAAGAACGAACCTTGGTTCAATTAATTTAAAGAGACATACATTGAATATGTACTTTGTCTCAGGCACAGAACTAGACACTGGGATAAAGGGACAGGCTGGACATGGTATAGTGTTTTCCCTCACAGAGCTTATACTTTACTTAACTCAGGATTTTATAGTTTAATGTGAAATATGTCAGGAAATTCAGTACAGAAGTGCTATTGAAGGTGAAAAAGATACCTACTATTAGTTGTATCACGTTCCCTTGATGTTATCATAGGCAATGTTTGGATAACACTGGATAAAACACTGGCAGGTTTTATTGGCAATAAGTTGACCAGTTGATATGAGATACTTGGTTAACCTAGCAAAAACATGTGATCTTGTAGATAAAACATCTCCTTCATCTCATTTGATTTCCATATATCCAAGATTTAATGTAATGATAATTTTATTATTTCCCAGTATTTTGTTAGGTGCTATAATTGGGAATATTACATCTTTTGGAGGGATTATTAATAACTTAATGCTTTAAGTCTCCTTAGCTCCAGCTTTTGTTCTTGCTACTGCCTTCTTGTTTCTTACACTCTGCATGCATGCATGCAGGTGACTTTGAGTTATATGTAAATTTCAGGTTCCAGTTTTGCTTTTGCATATAATTCTTCTATTGCTATTTAGATGCTAAATAAATGTTATTCTATTAGATGCTGTTCTAATGCTATTTAGCCATTCAGCTTTCACTGTGACAAGTTGCATGGGTTCATTACTTTCCTTCACTTCTCATATTAGATGTGTCTGTTCTATGATTGTAATCTATTAGTGTTCAATCTAATCATTCCATCTGCTCAAATGATTGAGTTGATCATTTGCTTAAGAAAGTATTAAGTATACCAGGTGCCACTGTGAAAACTAAAGAAATGATGAGCAATTCTGGCCCATATGGCAGACTGCATTGACAAAAATAGCAGAGCAGACTTTTTAACAGGAACTCTACATATCTAGAAATTGGAATAATATCTTATAAAAATTTATTTAATAAAATAAACAAATGAAAAAAGTTAAATTTTGTGTGTTATATTTAATATATTTATATGAACACTAGTTGAATAAAGTCAATCTTTATTAATTTTGAGTAATTGATATTCTGTAATTCATTAAATTATTTTCTGTAGTTTTCTAAATTAAAAAAATTAACAAAACTTGATACATTTTC
Source organism: Homo sapiens (assembly GCF_000001405.40). Classification (NCBI taxonomy): domain Eukaryota; kingdom Metazoa; phylum Chordata; class Mammalia; order Primates; family Hominidae; genus Homo; species Homo sapiens. The sequence goes on from NC_000009.12 coordinate 30,530,227, forward strand.
TGTGACCAAAGAAAGTTAAATTTTTGTATATTTAAATTATTATATTTAATTTTAAATCTTATATAAATGTGTTTTAAATACTTTTAGTTAAAATTGTAACATTATTTTTGATACTAACAATACAACCTGAGGGACCAGTAAAAGCCAGAGGTCTATCAATGGCTACCTACTAACCTCACAATCCCTGAAGTGCAGACATAGATATATATTCCTAGAAGTAAAATTTACTTGTGTGATCAGATATAAATATGTCTTTAAGAAAAAGTAGTCTTAAAAGGAGAAATTTTTCTTGTTTTTGTACTTATTTGCTACAAATGCTGGATATGTTAGTAAGGAAAATGAAAGGGGGCTAAAACATTTGGGATAAAAAATAAATACTGCTTGTTATAAATATGTGACCATAAAATGTATTATGTAAAGCAGAAAACATTTGGAAGCAGGGCATTTTCCTGACCCTTTATGTGACTTGCGACACAGGTGCCTCATTTACTCAGCCTGCCATTCTCAACTCCTTGGTGGAGGTAGCACCAAAGTAAAAGAGTGCAAGAACTGGAGTGAATGAGCTCTGGAACAGGCTGGCCACTTTCGCACCAGCAGGATCAAACTCCACTCACTCGGACCCACTGTATGCCACTCTGTGCTGGAGGGAGCACACAAGTGAGTGGGTGCAGAGACTGGCCAGATGCTTTAGCACCAGCAGGAGTGAACTCTGTGCGTGGCCTGTGGCAGCATCCAGGTGGGGGTGCCTGCAACTGCCAAAGCCCCAGAGGGCATGCTGCAGTGCTCTTTTAGCACTGCGTCAGTAGATGACTTAAGTGTTAACAGGTCAGTTGGCCCCTTGTCTTTTTGCATGAGGTGGTTGCCCTCTGTCAGCGAGTGCAAAGGGCCAGTGTGCCAGCCTTTTGTATCCACACTCATGGATCCTGAACTCTTGTCCAGCATCCAGGAAAAAAGAGATCACACAAAAGAATTGAAGAATAGTAAATGTGGGGGATTTTATTGCTGATGAAAGTGGCTGTTAGTGGGAAAGGGAGCTGAAAAGCAGATGGGGCAGGTAGGTAATCCTCCCCTGAAGTCCAGCTATCTCTGGCCGGATTCTTCTGCAAAGAGGTCATCAAGCTGTCCCTCTGAAGTCAAGCCACTTCTCTCTGACGTCAGGCTGTAGTCCTGTCTACTGGCTGAGTCTGGGGCTTTTATAGGCATAGGATGAGGCAGGAGGGGGCCATGGGTGGTTTAGGAAAAGGCAACATTCAAGTAGGAAAACAGGGATATAAGTTCTCACTTTGGATCATGGTTTCAGGATTTTGGGCTTGAGGGAGAGTTTTCACAGAGGACCTGCCCTTTTCTGCCTAGAATTTCTCTGCCCCCTGTTGGTATCAATTTGACAGTAATAGGAAGTGGTTGGTAGCAAAAAATCAAAAAAGAGTTTTTTGTGCACATTCTAGTTATAAGTTTTGTTTTGTTTTGGATGTTTTGTTTTTTTTTTTTCCTCATAACATTTTCTAAGTAGAGCCCCTCAATGATATAAAAAAAGGGTAGTTTTAATTTTTTAATCAAAGAAAGGAATTCTAGGAAATTTTTAAATTAAAACATAAATCATTGATATAGAAGTACTTAATAGTTATTTTGTTTTATAAATTATTGACAGTAGGAGTTAGATTCACAGTACATGGAATAATCTAACAGTCTATATTCCGTAACCTGTATCTTGGTGATTTCCACTCTTACCATTGGTCAAATATAACTGTAACAAGAGAGCATTCACCTGTTTGGGCTAGATTACTGAACCATTATTTACATATGGTGGACCCAATTCTAAAGATAATTTTAAGCCACTTACAATAACACCCCCCAACAAACACTCACATATAGAAACACAGTATTAAACTTTAAGCATATAGAAAAGTAAAGGTAGAATGGGGGTAAGAATCAGAGAGTCAGGCCGGGTGCGGTGGCTCACACCTGTAATCCCAGCACTTTGGGAGGCCAAGGCAGGCAGATCACAAGGTCAGGGGTTCGAGACCAGCCTGACCAACATGGTGAAACCCCGTCTCTACTAAAAATACAAAAATTAGCTGGGCATGGTCGCGCGCACCTGTAATCCCAGCTACTCAGGAGGCTGAGGCAGGAGAATCTCTTGAACCTGGGAGGCAGAGGTTGCAGTGAGCAGAGATCATGCCTCTGCACTCTAGCCTGGGTGACAGAGCAAGACTCATGTCAAAACAAACAAACAAACAAACAAACAAAAAAAAGAATCAGAGAGGCAAAGCATCACACAGACTTAAGTAATAAATCCTAATGGTATTTTTATATTTTGATCCTGAATTTCCTTTGAGCTTCTTGGCAACAAAATACAAAAGAAGACAAAGAAGACATGGTCAGTTGTTTCTGTAGCCCCAAAGAAACAAACAAACAAACACATACACATACATATATATATATATATATACACACCCACACACGTATGCATCTGTGGGGATACATATATGCTTTAGGGTTACACAGCCACACAAATATAAACATATTTATGCACACATGTACACACTTATTCACACACACGTTGTTAAATAGAAATGAAACATTTTATAAAAATAATGTGTAATATCTAAAATTTATTTTTACTTAATGATTCCATTTAGAGACAGTAAAAGATGTAGTAGACAATGTTCTATCTCTTTGTTTTCTAAATTGGTTTCATATACTCTCAATCATGCATGTGGACATTTATTCATCTCAACCTCTTGTTAACATATGTTCATTGAATGCCAGCAGATCTGAGGCAACATCTTAACCACTGAGATAAAGTATTGGGAAAATGAGGCGTGTTTATTATATTTATGGAGTTAGTAATATTTGGAAGACAGAAATTAATTATATAATCACACAGATAAACAATTATCAAAATTAAAACTTATATAGGGGGTTGGGAAAAATATGTCTATCTATATACTTCTCTCCCTTTATACATGTGTATATGTATATTTATGTGTGTGTGTATATATGTCTGTGTGTGTATAATATATATATCTTTTGAAGAAATAGGAGGCTCGCCATAAATTATAATTTAAATTAGCAAAAAGATACTCAGATATATTCCATGTCTTTTCTTTACTGTATTACAAGACCAAATTAAAAACATGTTCAAACCAATGCCAAAATGGAAAGCAAAACAAAATTGTTTATTAGTTCATTGTAATCCAATTTATTTTTTTGACTTTTATTTCTTATTCACCATTGATCAGATTTGTTAGTTCTCATGACATCATGAACACTCAGAATGCTAAATCCCTACTCTCCTAGTAGCATTAAATATCCTTCATAGGGAAATATTAGGTACCTAAATATATGCATTGGTATGTTGAAGTAAAAAAATTACAAGTCAAGTTAAATGAATAAAAAAATAGCCCTTAACAGTCCACTACAGGATACATGGAGCTTATATACAGAATATAATATGGGGGAAATTCATGCCCAAACCATGGCTATTTCATTTAAGTATTAGACAATGATATATATATTATCTTTAAGTAAGCCAACACGCAATGTAAAGTTAAAAATTCGATGTGTAATTAGCCATAGAAATGACTACTAATTACAGAAATATAAAACAGGAAGAGTACTGTGGCCCAAAAAAATGGTTTAAAAAACATGGTTTATTTATTCTGGCTGAGTTGTTCTTATCTTCAATTTCCCTGAAACTTCGACTCAAAATTGTTCTAAACTCTATTTTAAGATCAGATTTCCTGATTTCTGTCATATACTCACATATCATTTATACAGTCATATGTCATTTAATGTTGGCGATGGTTCTGAGAAATGCATTGTTAGGTGATTTTGTTATTTTGTGAACATCATAGAGTATACTTACACAAACCTAATTGGTATAACATACTACAAATCTAGGTTATATGGTATAGTCTATTGTTCCTGAATTACAACTTTGTACAGCATATTACTGTACTGAGTACTGTAGGCAGTTATAACACAATGAAAAGGATTTGTATAACTAAACATATCTAAACATAGAAAAGGTACAGTAAAAATACAGCATTATAATCTAATAGAACCATGATGGAATATGTGGTACATGTTGAGTAAAATGTTGTTAGTTATACGTTGCATGAATTTTTATGTGACATTTTGTCTTATATAACTATTTTCTATATATTTTATTTTTATTCTTAAAAAACTACTTCGAACTCATTCATCTTGTTCTATTATTTTCCGTTAGCCTTTTCCCGCCACATTTCTGAATAAGTAAAATGCTAATTTTCTCTCGCTTTACAATTTGACGTTTTGTTGTTGCAGTCAGCATTGCATCTACAGTCTGTGACAACTAAGATATTCTCTTATTCTGAAAGCCAGTCACATTAATATTCTTTATTTCATTGCTCAGTGCATCCTAAGGACAAACATGCCATAAAACAGTGCCTATAAATCAAATTTAAGTGTACAACAGAGGTAATGGGGATTGTAAAAATGTCATGCTTTGCCAGTGGTTGACTGGAGAATGACCCATTATCATAGTAAAGTGATAAAATCTATGTGATAAAGCACATAAGCTTTGTAACACTGCTGCTTCTGTTAATCCATTAGATTTAGATCAAAGTTATGGCATCAGATTGAGTCTCAATAATTTAAGAAAAATTAAATTTTTCAGTGAATTGAGAGATTTCGAAGTATTTATTTTCTTCTGCATAAGATTTAGATTTAAGAAAGCAAAATTACTTATAATTTATTAATGTATAATCCATTTGGAAGGACATGTTAATAATAAAACATTTCCACAATTTGTAAATTGCTGTGTAAATTAACAGGAACTGAAAGGAAGTGTCTGAAACTGTCCATAGAAGAGTTACCTTTAGACAACATGATGACATCTAGATTGAACTACTTTCACTTTAGAACAAAATGTGGTTGGCCATGCAACATATTGACATGTAGCTCCTTCATCACATAACAATAACTTCTGTTTAAAATGGAGGCAAATAAAAAAGGCCTATTAAATATAACCAGATGAAAATCTTTTCTGAACTTAAAAATGTTACTTTAAAAAAATTAACGGTGTAAAACAGGTGTTACCAGAAGTAGAAACCTTCATAACAAATTTCTCTTGTTAATATAACAGAGCTTTATAGGGACCCTAAAAAAATAACAAAATAAACATCTGAAAAACAAAACCAGTAAAACAACTTTTCCAGCCTCAAGTAATTTTATCCAATAATGGGAAATTGCTTTATTCATTATCCTTCAGTTAGTTGTATCCTTTGGTAACCAAATTACAGCAATTACATCGCTGACCTCACCACCTTCAAGTAAAGAACAAAAATGTTGAGAGCATCTAATTGAGTGAGTTACACACACCATATTATGAAACAATAGGGAATTACAGTATGTGTACCCAGAAATATGGAAAAGACTAGTTTTCTTTCCCAAATATCTAATTACTTAAAAATTATAGTTTATTGCTAAATAAAATAAGGGATGCACTTATTTAATAAAGCTTTGATATTATGCTCTAACTACAATGTGAGAACAGTATTTGAAAAAAAATTTACCCATGATCTTACACAAATATAACCTTTAAGCTGAATAGTTGAAGTAAATGATACATTAACTGTAAACATAAACTTTGAAATATAGAAAAACTCCTGTTTACTTTTTTCTAAAGGAGTGTGCACTAATAAAATGTAGTATTTTTAATGATTACTAAAATTGGAACATATTAGTCTTTTTTGGATGAATATTGAAAATGTGTTTTACATTTTTATTCATTTATTTACTGGAGGTTTAGGTTAGAGGCAAGTTAGAGGTGCCCTTCCCTTCCCTTCCCTTTCCTCCCCTTCCCTTCCTTCCCTTCCCTCCCCTTCCCTTCCTTCCCTTCCCTTCCATCCCCTCCCCACCCTCCCCTCCCATCGCCTCCCTTCCCTTCCTCTCCCCTTCCCTTCCCTTTCTTTTTCTTTCATTTCTTTGTTGAATGGTTTTGACCAAAACACTGATAATGATATGAACAATGAAATCCAGGAAAGGGTGGTCTAAGATGGAGAAGAGGAACTTGTTGGGAGCTGGACCAAAGGTGACTCTTGTCATGTTTAAGCAAAAAGATTGGCAGCGTTTTGCCCCTGCACTAGAGATCTGTGGAACTTTGAGCTTGATAGGGATGATTCAGTGTATCTGGCAGAAGAAATTTCTAAGCAGCAAAGAGTTCAAGTGCTGACTTGTGTGCTGTTATAGGCATTCAGTTTTATAAGGGAAGCAGAGAATAAAAGTTCGGAAAATTTGCAGCCTGACAATTTGATAGAAAAGAAAATTCTATGATCGAGGAAAAATTCAAGCCAATTGCAGGAATTTGCATAAGTAACCAGGAGCCAAATGTTAATCCCCAAGACAATGGGAAAAATGTCTGCATGGCATGTCAGAGACCTTTGTGGTAGCCCCTCCCATCACAAGCCTGGAGGCCTAGGAGGAAAAAATGGTTTCATGGGCTGGGCCCAGGATCCCCATGCTGTGTGCAGCCTAGGAACTTGGTCCCCTGCATCCCAGTTGCCCCACCTGTGTCTGAAAGGGATCAATACAGAGCTTGGACCATGGCTTTAGAGGGTGCAGGCCCCAAGACTTGGCAGCTTCTTCGTGGTGTTGAGCCTGCAAGTGCACAGAAGTCAAGAATTGGTGTTTTGGGACCTCCACCTAGATTTTAGAAGATGTATGGAAATGCCTGGATTCCCAGACATAAGTTTGCTGCAGGGGCAGGGTCCTCATGGAGAACCTCTGCTAGGGCAGTGCAGAAGGGAAATGTGGGGTCAGAGTACCCACACACAGTCCCTACTGGGGCACCACCTAATGGAGCTGTGAGAAGACAGCCACCATTCTACAGACCCTAGAATGGTAGATCCATTGACAGCTTGCACTGTGAGCCTGGAAAAGCCACAGACACTCAATGCCAGCCCTTGAAAGCACTTGGGAGTAAGGCCACACCCTGCACAGCCACAGAGGCGGGAGCTGCTCAAGGCCAGGAGAACCCACCTCTTGCATCAGCTTGATATTGATGTGAGACATGGGTCACAAAAGATCATTTTGGATCATTTTGACTCCCACACTGGATTTTGGACTTGCATTTATCCCCTTTATTTTGGCCAATTTCTCCTATTTACCCAATGCCTGTACCCCCATTGTATCTGAGAAGTAACTAACTTGCTTTTGATTTTACAGGCTCATAGGTGGAAGAAACTTGCCTTGTTGCAGATGAGACTTTGGACCGTGGACTTTTGAGTTAATGCTGAAATGAGTTAAGACTTTGGGGAGACTGTTGGGAAAGCATGATTCATTTTGAAATGGGAGGACATGAGATTTGTGAGGGGCCAGGTGTGGAATGATATGGTTTGGTTCTGTCCCTGCCCAACTCTCATCTTGAAATCCCATGTGTTGTGAGAGGGACCCAATGGGAGATAACTGAATCAGAGGAGTGGGTCTTTCCCATGCTGTTTTTGTGATGCTAAATAAGTCTCATGAAATCTGATGGTTTTAAAAACAGGAGTTTCTCTTCACAAGCTCTCTCTTTGCCTGCTGCCATCCATGTCAGATATGACTTGCTCCTGCTAGCCTTCTGCCATGATTGTGAGGCCTTTCCAGCATGTGAAATTGAAGTCCATTAAACTTCTTTTTCCTCCCAGTCTTGGGTGTGTCTTTATCAGCAGTGTGAAAACAAACTAATACAACTCTTATCCTCTTATAATCACAATTTTGCTCCTACATCTATGAGCTCAATTTTTGTTTCTTAGCTTCCACTTATGAGTGAGAATATACAATATTTATCTTTCTATGTCTGGCTTATTTTACTTAAACTCATGTCCTCTAGGCTTATTCATGTTGCCACAGATGACACAATTTTATTTCTGTGTGTGTCCATGTGTGTGTGTGTTTGTGGGTATGTCTAAATAATATACCATTATATACATATGTCACATTTTCATTATATCTCAATCTTTTGATGGACATTTTGGTTGATTTCAGATCTTGGGTATTTTGACTAGAGCTTTCCTATCCTTTATATACATACACAGTAGCAGAATTGCGGGATCATATAGTAATACTATTTTATAATTAATTGAAAAACCTACATTATGTTTTCCATAATGAATATACTAATTACTATTCCACTGACAGTACATAAGAGTTCCCCTTTCTCTGCATTTGCACCAACATTTGTTATATTTTCTCTTTTTGATGTGAGCCATTCTAACAAGAGTGAAATGATATCTCATTGTTGTTTTGATTTACATTTTCCTGATGATGAGTGATGTTGAATTCTTTTTCATATACGTGTGATCCATTTATAGGTCTTTTTTCACAGAAATATCTATTTAGATTCTATGCCAAATTTTAATCAGGTTTTTTTTTCTGTTGCTGTTTCAGTTACTTGTATATACTGGATATTAGCTCCTTGTCAGATGAAGAGTTTGCAAATATTTTCTCCCATTTCACATGTTGTCTCTTCACTCTTTGTATTGTTTGCTTTGCAGAAGGTTTTTACATATATTCCCACTTGCCATTTTTGTTTTGGTAGTTTGTGCTTTTGAAGGCTTTCCCATGAAATCTGCCTAGACCAATGTCCTGAAGCATTTCCCTTATGTTTTCTTGCAGTAATTTTATACAGGTTCAGATCTTACATTTAAGTCCTACATCCATTTTGAATTTATTTTTGCATATGGTGAAATACAGGGGTCTAATTTCATTCTTCTGCATACAAACAACCAGTTTTTTTAGATTCATTTATTGAAGAGGGTGTTCTCTCCCCAATGTGTTTTATTGGTACCTTTTTCAAAAATCAGTTGGCTGTAGATAAGGGTATATATTTATGGGTTCTCTATTCCATTGGTCTTTGGGTCTGTTTTTATATCACTACTATGCTGCCTTGGTTACTACGGCTTTGGAATATATTTTGAAGTCAGGTAAAGTGATGCTCCAGCTTTGTTCTTTGTGCTTAGCATTGCTTTGGACATCTGAGGTCTTTTGTGGTTCATACAAATGTTAGAATTGCCTTGTCTATTTCTATTTAAAATGTTATTGGCATTTTGCTAGAGATACTGATTCTGTAAATTGCATTGGATACTGTAGTCATTTTAGCAATTTTAATGACCCAAGTTCATGATATGGGATGTCTCGCCATTTGTTTATTCAACTTCATTCACTAGTGTTTTAAAATTTTTGTCATAGAAGTTTTTCACATCTTTGGTTAAATGTATATTTAAGGAGGGAGGAGCCAAGATGGCTAAATAGGAACAGCTCCGGTCAACAGCTCCCAGCGTGAGCGACGCAGAAGACGGGTGATTTCTGCATTTCCATCTGAGGTACCGGGTTCATCTCACTAGGGAGTGCCAGACAGTGGGTGCAGGTCACTGGGTGTGCGAACCGTGCGCAACCCGAAGCAGGGCGAGGCATTGGCTCACTCGGGAAGTGCAAGGGCTCAGGGAGTTCCCTTTCCTAGTCAAAGAAAGGGGTGACAGACGGCACCTGGAAAATCGGGTCACTCCCACCCGAATACTGCGCTTAAAAAACGGCGCACCAGGAGATTATATCCCACATATGGCTCGGAGAGTCCTACGCCCACGGAGTCTCGCTGACTGCTAGCACAGCAGTCTGAGATCAAACTGCAAGACAGCAGCGAGGCTGGGGGAGGGGCGCCCGCCATTGTCCAGGCTTGCTTAGGTAAACAAAGCAGCCGGGAAGCTCGAAATGGGTGGAGCCCACCACAGCTCAAGGAGGCCTGCCTGCCTCTGTAGGCTCCACCTCTGGGGGCAGGGCACAGACAAAGAAAAAGACAGCAGTAACCTCTGCAGACTTAAATGTCCCTGTCTGACAGCTTTGAAGAGAGCAGTGGAGATCTGAGAACAGGCAGACAGCCTCCTCAAGTGGGTCCCTGACCCCTGACCCCCGAGCAGCCTAACTGGGAGGCACCACCCAGCAGGGGCAGACTGACACCTCACACGGCCGGGTACTCCAACAGACCTGCAGCTGAGGGTCCTGTCTGTTAGAAGGAAAACTAACAAACAGAAAGGACATTCACACCAAAAACCCATCTGTACATAACCACCATCAAAGACAAAAAGTAGATAAAACCACAAAGATGGGGAAAAAACAGAGCAGAAAAACTGGAAACTCTAAAAAGCAGAGCGCCTCTCCTCCTCCAAAGGAACGCAGTTCCTCACCAGCAACAGAACAAAGCTGGACGGAGAATGACTTTGACAACCTGAGAGAAGAAGGCTTCAGACAATCAAATTACTCTGAGCTACAGGAGGACATTCAAACCAAAGGCAAAGAAGTTGAAAACTTTGAAAAAAGTTTAGAAGAATGTATAACTAGAATAACCAATACAGAGAAGTGCTTAAAGGAGCTGATGGAGCTGAAAACTAAGGCTGGAGAACTACGTGAAGAATGCAGAAGCCTCAGGAGCCGATGCGATCAATGGGAAGAAAGGGTATCAGTGATGGAAGATGAAGTGAATGAAATGAAGCGAGAAGGGAAGTTTAGAGAAAAAAGAATAAAAAGAAACTAGCAAAGCCTCCAAGAAATATGGGACTATGTGAAAAGACCAAATCTACGTCTGATTGGTGTACCTGAAAGTGACGGGGAGAATGGAACCAAGTTGGAAAACACTCTGCAGGATATTATCCAGGAGAACTTCCCCAATCTAGCAAGGCAGGTCAACATTCAGATTCAGGAAATACAGAGAACGCCACAAAGATACTCCTCGAGAAGAGCAACTCCAAGACACATAATTGTCAGATTCACCAAAGTTGAAATGAAGGAAAAAATGTTAAGGGCAGCCAGAGAGAAAGGTCGGGTTACCCACAAATGGAAGCCCCTCAGACTAACAGTGGATCTCTCGGCAGAAACTCTACAAGCCAGAAGAGAGTGGGGGCCAATATTCAACATTCTTAAAGAAAAGAATTTTCAACCCAGAATTTCATATCCAGCCAAACTAAGCTTCATAAGTGAAGGAGAAATAAAATACTTTACAGACAAGCAAATGCTGAGAGATTTTGACACCACCAGCCCTGCCCTAAAAGAGCTCCTGAAAAAGTGCTAAACATGGAAAGGAACAACTGATATCAGCCGCTGCAAAATCATGCCAAAATGTAAAGACCACTAAGATTAGGAAGAAACTGCATGAACTAATGAGCAAAATAACCAGCTAATATCATGACAGGATCAAATTCACACATAACAATATTAACTTTAAATGTAAATGGACTAAATGCTCCAATTAAAAGACACAGACTGGCAAACTGGATAAAGAGTCAAGAACCATCAGTGTGCTGTATTCAGGAAACCCATCTCACGTGCAGAGACACACATAGGCTCAAAATAAAAGGATGGAGGAAGATCTACTAAGCAAATGGAAAACAAAAAAAGGCAGGGGTTGAAATCCTAGTCTCTGATAAAACAGACTTTAAACCAACAAAAATCAAAAGAGACAAAGAAGGCCATTACATAATGGTAAAGTGATCAATTCAACAAGAAGAGCTAACTATCCTAAATATATATGCACCCAATACAGGAGCACCCAGATTCATAAAGCAAGTCCTGAGTGACCTACAAAGAGACTTAGACTCCCACACATTAATAATGGGAGACTTTAACACCCCACTGTCAACACTAGACAGATCAACAAGACAGAAAGTCAACAAGGATACCCAGGAATTGAACTCAGCTCTGCACCAAGTGGACCTAATTGACATCTACAGAACTCTCCACCCCAAATCAACAGAAAATACATTTTTTTCAGCACCACACCACACCTATTCCAAAATTGACCACATACTTGGAAGTAAAGCTCTCCTCAGCAAATGTAAAAGAACAGAAATTATAAAAAACTATTTCTCAGACCACAGTGCAATCAAACTAGAACTCAGGATTAAGAATCTCACTCAAAACCACTCAACTACATGGAAACTGAACAACCTGCTCCTGAATGACTACTGAGTACATAACGAAATGAAGGCAGAAATAAACATGTTCTTTGAAACCAACGAGAACAAAGACACAACATACCAGAATCTCTGGGACGCATTCAAAGCAGTTTGCAGAGGGAAATTTATAGCACTAAATGCCCATAAGAGAATGCAGGAAAGATCCAAAATTGACACCCTAACATCACAATTAAAAGAACTAGAAAAGCAAGAGCAAACACATTCAAAAGCTAGCAGAAGGCAAGAAATAACTAAAATCAGAGCAGAACTGAAGGAAATAGAGACAAAAAAAACCCTTCAAAAATTAATGAATCCAGGAGCTGGTTTTTTGAAAGGATCAACAAAATTGATAGACCGCTAGCAAGACTAATAAAGAAAAAAAGAGAGAAGAATAAAATAGACGCAATAAAAAATGATAAAGGGGATATCACCACCGATCCCACAGAAATACAAACTACCATCAGAGAATACTACAAACACCTCTATGCAAATAAACTAGAAAATCTAGAAGAAATGGATAAATTCCTCGATACATACACTCTCCCAAGACTAAACCAGGAAGAAGTTGAATCTCTGAATAGACCAATAACAGGAGCTGAAATTGTGGCAATAATCAATAGCTTACCAACCAAAAAGAGTCCAGGACCAGATGGATTCACAGCCGAATTCTACCAGAGGTACAAGGAGGAACTGGTACCATTGCTTCTGAAACTATTCCAATCAATAGAAAAAGAGGGAATCCTCCCTAACTCATTCTATGAGGCCAGCATCATCCTGATACCAAAGTTGGGCAGAGACACAACCAAAAAAGAGAATTTTAGACCAATATCCTTGATGAACATTGATGCAAAAATCCTCAATAAAATACTGGCAAACCGAATCCAGCAGCACATCAAAAAGCTTATCCACCATGATCAAGTGGGCTTCATCCCTGGGATGCAAGGCTGGTTCAATACATGCAAATCAATAAATGTAATCCAGCATATAAATAGAACCAAAGACAAAAAACCACGATTTTCTCAATACATGCAGAAAAGGCCTTTGACAAAATTCAACAGCCCTTCATGCTAAAAACTCTCAATAAATTAGGTATTGATGGGATGTATCTCAAAATAATAAGAGCTATCCATGACAGACCCACAGCCAATATCATACTGAATGGGCAAGAACTGGAAGCATTCCCTTTGAAAACTGGCACAAGACAGGGATGCCCTCTCTCACCACTCCTATTCAACATAGTGCTGGAAGTTCTGGCCAGGGCAATCAGGCAGGAGAAGGAAATAAAGGGTATTCCATTAGGAAAAGAGGACATCAAATTGTCCCTGTTTGCAGACGATATGATTGTATATCTAGAAAACCCCATTGTCTCAGCCCAAAATCTCCTTAAGCTGATAAGCAACTTTAGCAAAGTCTCAGCATACAAAATCAATGTACAAAAATCACAAGCATTCTTATACACCAACAACAGACAAACAGAGAGCCAAATCATGAGAGAACTCCCATTCACAGTTGCTTCAAAGAGAATAAAATACCTAGGAAATCAACTTACAAGGGATGTGAAGGACCTCTTCAAGGAGAACTACAAACCACTGCTCAAGGAAATAAAAGAGGATACAAACAAGTGGAAGAACATTCCATGCTCATGGGTAGGAAGAATCAATATCGTGAAAATGGCCATACTGCCCAAGGTAATTTACAGATTCAATGCCATCTACATCAAGCTACCAATGACTTTCTTCACAGAATTGGAAAAAACTACTTTAAAGTTCATATGGAACCAAAAAAGAGCCTGCATCACCAAGTCAATCCTAAGCCAAAAGAACAAAGCTGGAGGCATCATGCTACCTGACTTCAAACTATTCTACAAGGGTACAGTAACCAAAACAGCACGGTACTGGTACCAAAACAGAGATATAGATCAATGGAACAGAACAGAGCCCTCAGAAATAATGCCGCATATCTACAACTATCTGATCTTTGACAAACCTGAGAAAAACAAGCAATGGGGAAAGGATTCCCTATTTAATAAATGGTGCTGGGAAAACTGGCTAGCCATATGTAGAAAGCTGAAACTGGATCCCTTCCTTACACCTTTTACAAAAATCAATTCAAGATGGATTAAAGACTTAAACGTTAGACCTAAAACCATAAAAACCCTAGAAGAAAACCTAGGCATTACCATTCAGGACATAGGCATGGGCAAGGACTTCATGTCTGAAACACCAAAAGCAATGGCAACAAAAGCCAAAATTGACAAATGGGATCTAATTAAACTAAAGAGCTTCTGCACAGCAAAAGAAACCACCATCAGAGTGAACAGGCAACCTACAAAATGGGAGAAAATTTTCACAACCTACTCATCTGACAAAGGGCTAATATCCAGAATCTACAATGAACTCAAACAAATTTACAAGAAAAAAACAAACAACCCCATCAAAAAGTGGGCGAAGGACATGAACAGACACTTCTCAAAAGAAGACAATTATGCAGCCAAAAAACACATGAAAAAATGCTCACCATCACTGGCCATCAGAGAAATGCAAAGCAATACCACAATGAGATACCATCTCACACCAGTTAGAATGGCGATCATTAAAAAGTCAGGAAACAACAGGTGCTAGAGATGATGTGGAGAAATAGGAACACTTTTATACTGTTGGTGGGACTGTAAAGTAGTTCAACCATTGTGGAAGTCAGTGTGGCGATTCCTCAGGGATCTAGAACTAGAAATACCATTTGACCCAGGCATCCCATTACTGGGTATATACCCAAAGGACTATAAATCATGCTGCTATAAAGACACATGCACACGTATGTTTATTGCAGCATTATTCACAATTGCAAAGACTTGGAACCAACCCAAATGTCCAACAATGATAGACTGGATTAAGAAAATGTGGCACATATACACCATGGAATACTATGCAGCCATAAATAATGATGAGTTCATGTCCTTTGTAGGGACATGGATGAAATTGGAAATCATCATTCTCAGTAAACTATCGCAAGAACAAAAAACCAAACACCGCATATTCTCACTCATAGGTGGGAATTGAACAATGAGATCACATGGACACAGGAAGGGGAACATCACACTCTGGGGACTGTTGTGGGGTGGGGGGAGGGGGGAGGGATAGCATTGGGAGATATACCTAATGCTAGATGACGAGTTAGTGGATGCAGCGCACCACCATGGCACATGTATACATATGGAACTAACCTGAACATTGTGCACATGTACCCTAAAACTTAAAATATAAGAATAATAAATTTTTAAAAAATGTATATTTAATTCAGTTTTTTAGTATCATAAATGGCATTGTTTTCTTCATTTCTTTTTCAGTTAGTTTGTTATTGATGTTGATTTTGCACTTTATAAGTTACTGAATTCATGTATCAGTTATGAAACTTTGTGGTAGAGTATTAGGTTTTTAAATATATGTAAGATCATGCCATCTTGAAAGAGGGCAAGTTACCTACCTTTTATTTTGATATGGCGCCCCCCACCCCACCTCCTTTTTTTCCTCTTGCCTAATTGCTTTGGCTAGGACTTTCAGTACTAGGCTGAATAAAATGGGTGGAAATGAGCATTTTTTTTTCTTGTCTCACCTCTTAGAGGAAAATCTGGCTTTTTTTCAGTCAGCATAATATTAGCTGTGGTTTAATCAGATATGAACTTCATTAAGTTGAGGGATGTTGTTTATATACCTGATTTGTTAGTAGTTATCATAAATAAATGTTGAATTTTATAATTTTTTCTGCATCTATTGTGATGATCATATTTTTTTTTCTTTCATTCTATGGATGTGATGAATTGCATTTCTTCATTTGAGGCTTTCTTTCATTCCTGGAACAAATGCTACTTGATTATGGTGCATTATCTTTTCGATGTGTTGTTATATTTGGTTTGCTTGTATTTTTTTTTACCACTTTTGCATGTATATTTATTGAAGATATTGGTCTGTCATGTTCTTTCATTATGTCCTTGACAGGCTTTGATATCAGAATAATGCTGGCTTGTAGAATGAGTTAAAAAGTATTTCCTATTTTTAAAATTTTTGGAATAGTTTGAGAAGAATTTGTGTTAGTTCTTCTTTGTAAACTTTCTAGAATTCAGTAGAATGCCATCCAGTTCTGGGCTTTTCTTTGTTGATAGACATTATTACTGATTGAATCTCCCTGTGATTGATCTGTTCTGGTTTTCTAATGTTTCCAGGTTCAATCTTCGTAGGTTATATGTGTCCAGGTATTTATCCATTTCCTCTAGATTTTCTAATTTGTTGGCATGCAGATGTTCATAGCAGGCATAGTCGTTCATAGCAGATTCTTGTATTTCTGTGGTGTCAGTTGTACTGTCTTCTTTTTTATTGTTAATTTTATTTCTTTGGGTATTTTCTCTTTTTTCTTAGTTTAGGTAAAGGTTTGTTGATTTTGTTTATCTTTGCAAAAAAAACTTTTTATTTTGTTGATCTTCTTTTATTTTTTAAGTCTCTATTTCATCTAGTTCTGCTCTATTCTTTTTTTCTACTAATTTTGGGTGTAGTTTGTTTTTGTTTTTCTAATTTCTTTAGGCACATCATTAGATTGTTGAAATCTTTGGACTTTTTGACATTGGATTTTACTACCTTTCCTGTTAGTACTGCTTTTGATGTATCTCATAGATTAAGGTATATTGCGTTTCCATATTCATTTGTTTAAAAAATGCTTTTATATTTACTTCTTAATTACTTCATAGATCCAATGGTTGTTAAAGAGCATGTTATTTAATGGGCATGTATTTATACAATTTTCAGAGTTCATGTTATTAATTTTTAGTTTTATTATGGTCTGACAATATGTTTGATATAATTTTTACTCTTTTATATTTGGTGAGCTCTGTTTTGTGGCCTGATCTATAGTCTATGATGAAGACTGTTTCATGTGCTGATAAGAAGAACATACATTCTTGAAACTTTTGAATAAATCTTCTTTAAGTGTCTGTTATGTCCATTTGGTCTACAGTGCAGTATAAGTCTGATATTTCTTTGTTAATTTTCTGTCTGGATGCCCTGTTCTATGATAAAACAGGGGTGTTAAAGCCCAAAACTATACTTTTTCTGCACTCTATTCCTTTTTTCTAGCTCTAATAACATTTCTATATATATCAGAGTACTCTGCTCTTGGATGCATGTATATTTACAATTCCTATAACCTCCTGATAATTTGATTCCCTTATCTTTATATAATGACCTTCTTTATCTCTTTTTATGTTTTTCACTTATTTTTTCCCATCCCTTCCCTATCAGTCCAAGTGTGTCCTTACAGTTGAAATGTGCTCCTTACAGGCAATATATAGTTGGATTTTGCTTTTTTTTTTTCCAGTAAGTGTATATCTTTTTAACAAGGGAATTTAAACAATGTACATTCAAAGTTGTCATTGATAGGTGATTTTTTTGTGTATCCATGTTTCTTACTTCCTCTTTTATTGTTTAATTTTGCAATATGGTGGTTTTCTCTATTAATAATATTTTATTTCTTTATGTTTCTCATTGTGTACATGGTTTACCCAATATTTTGCTACTTTGGTATGTTTTCATGATGGTAGATATTGTCCTTTCACTTACAGATGTAGAATGTCCTTTAGCCTTCCTTGTAGGGCTTCTCTAGTGGTGATGAATGGCCTCGGGTTTTGCATGTGTGTAAAATATGTGATTTGCTTTCCATTTCTGAATGATAGCTCTGCTGGATATAATATTCTTGGCTAGCCGATTTTTTTTTTTCCCACAGCACTTTGAATATATTATCCCATTGTCTTTTAGCCCATAAGAGGTTTGCAAAATATCTTCTGTTAGTCTTTTGGGGAATCGCTTTTATATGACTTGGTGCTTGTTCTTTTGCTATTCTTACAATTTTGTATTTGTTTTTGGCTTTTGACAGTTTAACCATAAGGTGCCTAAAAGAGGTCTTTTTGAGTTCAATGTATTTGTTTTATTTGAGTTCCCTATATTTTGAAGTCTATATCTCTTCAAATACTTGTGAAAATTTCAGCTATTATTTTATTAAATAGGTTTGCTATGACTTTTCTCATTTTTTCTACTTCTGTATATTCCAAAATTCCAATATTTGCTCCTTTGATGATATCTCATATTTCACATAGGCTTTCTTCATTCTTTTCATTATTTCTTTGTCTGATTTTTTTCCAAAAGACCTGCCTTCAATTTTAGAAATTATTTATTCTGCCTGATTTAATCTATTATTGAAGCTCTGTGTTGTATTTTTAAAATTTTATCTATTGAATTACTCAGTTCCAGGATTTCTATTGGGTTCTTTTTAAGATAATATCTATCTCTTTGTTGAATTTCTCATTTACATCATACATTGTTTTTCTGATTTCTTTGTATTGTGTATCTGTGTCCTCTTGTATCTCTGAGTATTCTTAAAAGCATTATTTTGAGGTCCATTTTTGGTATTTCATAGGTTTTCTTTTTTGGGGGAGGGGGTCTGTTACTAGAGAATTATTATATTCTTTTTGAAGTGTTCAGTTTCCTTGCTTTTTAATATTTCTTTTTTTCTTACATTGATGCCTGCACAACTGATAAAACAGTCTTATCTTCCAACATATGTAGTAGCTTTAATAGGGAAAGACTTTTTTCCTATAGATAAATCTACAGTGTCAATTTAACAGGGTACTTTGGCTAAGGTTCTGGGTGGGTACCATAGTGTAGTCTTTACATTATTATTTTTTTTTAGCTATAATCAATATCGATGATATCTGTACGTTCTTCAGTGGCTTAAGCTGTAGTTGTTTGTGGAGGCTGTGGTGAGTATTTTCTGGGAATTGGGGCACTGGGTAAGTCAGTCCTCAGGCCAATGGGTGGCAGGCTGGGGCAACAGCTGTGGTGGCAGCAGGCCCTGGGAAGACCAGTCTTTGGGTCCCTGGGCAGCTCGCATGAGAATTAATGGTGGTGGCAGTACGTTCTGGGTGGGCTGATCCTTGGGCCCGTAAGTGGCATGTCAGGGCCAATGGGTAGCATGTGTGGGCACCAGTAGTGTTTAGCTTTGTTTTTAAATCATTCGGAACTAGTTTGAAAATAAACATTTATTGAAAGATAAGCAATTTAATCAAAATGTATACTAAGAATAGGTAAATAATATTATACTAGATGTATTACTTTTGATGAGCAGATATAAGGTACATTTTCTTATTAATTTAAGCTTCTTGATATTTGGAGGCAATTTTCTATGGTTTCTTTCATTTTTGCACATCCTGCAGCCTATTTTTAAGGGTTCTAAGTTTTCATTACTTCAGGTATGATACAAATACATTGTGTGCATAATACCCATGTAGTTCCCTTTGTGTCTTCTCTATGGAATTTAAGAGAAATGATGGACAGTGAACATGAAGCTTCTGCAGCTTGCTGTGCAATGAACAATACAACCTTTTTCTCTGACCCAGGTGTCTCATGTTTCTTGTCAGCAGTCATGAAACTGTCAAACTAACATATAAGCTTGAAAATAAGGTAAAAATTTATACCCTCCACAATTCTTGAAACTATCCATATACAATTTCCTGTATTACTTAGTGGTTACTAAAGGAGGGTAAATTAGACTTTTGTGTTAAAATACATGCAAAATGGCAACAGATTTGCAAAAAAAAAAAAATGCATATGGTGGTTCTAATTCTTCTACAATTTGTAATCCAAATATACAGTTTTAAAATTTAGTTAAAATTGGATGGGCATGTTATAGTAAAAATAAATATCCCATTAGCTGAATGGCAAACTGATTGGATCTGCATAGTTATCTGAATTACTATATCAGAGCTGAAATTTTATAGGTCTAGGGTACTGGAAGAACAAGTTACGTGAAGAATTGTTTGATTTAGATAGATACATAAAAACAAAAATACAAGGCATTTGTTTTAGCCATTTTTGTTGAAACTTATATTGTATATGCTAAAGTAAAATTTGTTATTAATTGATATAAATATCCCCAGTGTGTATGTATTAGAAAATAATTGATACCTGACCCTTCTTTTCATCCAACAACTTCCAGTCTATATGTTAATTACAACTAAAAGGCAGTACTGCAAGGAACTATGACTCATCCTATATCTATCATTTTCTGTCTTTTCAAGTTTCTTGAATATATTTGACTTGAAATATACCCTCCTTCCAATTCATATGTTGAATTCCTAACCCTTAAGATCACATTATGACTGTATTTGGAGAAAATCCTTAAATGGATAAAATGAAGTCAGAATGGTTCCTAAGCCAATATTATTGGAATCCCTAAAAGAAAAACAGATTAGGATATAGATATGCTTGGGGGAAGGCCATGTGAAGAAGACAGGGGAGAAGATGGCCACTTATAAGCCAAAGAGAGAAGTTTCAGAAGAAACAAACATTGCTAACACCTTGATCTCAGACTTCCAGCCTTCAGAATTGAGAGAAAATAAATTTCTGTTGTTTAAGCCACCCAGTCTTTACAGCCCTTGCAAACCATTATGCTTCCTTTATTTCCAAATTTTTACATTTGTAGATATTGAAATAATACTATTATATTTTAACGTTTCTAGGCAATTTAAATAAGGCTGCAGCTTTTTCACTGAAACAATATGACCTTGGCTGGGTGCGATGGCTCACGCCTGTAATCCCAGCACTCTGGGAGGCTGAGACGGGCAGATCACCTGAGGTCAGGAGTTCGAGACCAGCCTGGCCAACATGGTGAAACCCCGTCTCTACTAAAAATACAAAAATTAGCTGAGCATGGTGGCACACGCCTGTAATCCCAGCTACTGGGAAGGCTGAGGCAGGAGGATTGCTTGAACCCAGGAGGCGGAGGTTCTAGTGAGCTGAGATTGTGCCACTGCAGTCCAGCCTGGGCAACAGTGAGACTCTGTCTCAAAAAACAAAGAAACAATGAGCCCTCTTTGTCTTTTACTTTCCCCACTCACTCCGAATACAAAATTAGTACCTAAGTGATATTAATACACCTAAACGTCTTTTACTCTCAACCTTTCTGTCTTATCTTAGAAGAGCATTTGAGGAGACCTCACTCATTGCTGTAGGCAGTTTACTTTCTTACCTCCAGCTTCTCTTTTCTATCTAATTTTCCTGAACGTTCAGACTATTGTGAAAACATATGTGTGATATCTTTTTAATCTACTCTAGTCTTTGATTCACATGTCCTAAGGTGAAAATGTCAAAAAAAAAATAGTCATTCTTTCTGGAACAAGATAGTTGGTTATCACGGACAGGCTGTGCCTTTCCTTAAGCTCTCTCCCGTGTCTTCTACTCTAACTCATTTAGTTAGCACTTATATTCTATTTAATTTTGGATGGCTGACTTCGTCATATTCCCTGCCTTCTGGCTGGTTATTTGTCTAATATTACTGCCTGCTTCACTTCAATTAGTTCTATCGGCATAGTTTCTGATTCTCGAATAACAGGTAAGTTTGAAACTGCTTTATTGACTTTGCCTTGGCCCATGAAACCTTTGGAGATACCAGTGTCATTCTACTTTTGCATTCCTCCTTTCTTTAGTAAAGGGAATATTTTCTGTGCTCTCCTGGGAAACTGAGCCAGGTGGTTTCTTCTTTGATCTCACATGATAAGCCCATTCTAACATGTATATCCGTTTTCTTGAGCTTTCTGAATCTTCCCTTCCGTACTCTGTTAAAGCTGTCTTAACATTTCCAACTACTTTACTGTAGGCTATTATGCTCAAGCTTCAAATATCTATCCAAGCAGCATATTAGAACCAGCTCCATGTGTGCCTACCATGCTGTCAAGTCTTGAGTGATGGGAGAGGGCTTCCATATAAAAAAAGTAGTCACCATGAGCCTTATATTCTGCACATTCTCTTCTTGATGAAAAACTGTCAGATTCTGTGACATAATAAAAATATATTATTGGTCTCTATTCCTGTTTCCTTACAGAGAACACCTAATTCTTACACTATTTTCTGAGCAATGGGGATGCTAGGTGCAAATTTTCTCGTAATATTTGGTGTTGGACCCCAGTTCCTGACAGAGAGGTCTTAATACCTTGGAATTTCCTGGGTAAAATGATCATCTACTGTTAATAATGAGACCATCCTTGGTGGGCTACTGGATGGAGGCTGGTCACCAGAACGATCATAGAATTCTTTCCATGAATTAGCTTTTTTCTGGCACAAAGACTGCATTTGTTTTTCATGTGGGTTTCTTATAGACAATACGTATTTGAGTCTTTCCATTAAAAAATAATTTCTATTTTTATTTCAATAGCTTTGAGAGTACAGGGGGCTTTTGGTTACATGGATAAGGGTTTTAGTGGTGATTTCTGAGGTTTTGGTGTTCCTGTCACCAAAGTAGTGTACACTGTACCCAATGTGTACTCTTTTATCCCTCACACCCCTGCCCCCTTTCCCCCAAGTCCCCAAAGTCCATTATGTCATTCTATGCCGTTGTGTCTTCATAGCTTAGCTCCCACATAAAAGTGAGAGCATATGATATTTGATTTTCCCTTCCTGAGTTACTTCACCTAGAATAATGGCCTCCGGCTCCATCCAAGTTTCTGCAAAAGGCATTATGTCATTCCTTTTTACGGCTGAATAGTATTCCATGGTGTATATATACCACATTTTCTTTATTCACCCATTGGTTGACAGGCCCTTAAGTTGGTTCCATGTCTTTGTAATTGTGAATTGGGCTGCTATGAACATGCATGTACATGTGTGTCTTTTTCATATAATGACATATTTTGCTCTGGGTAGACACCCAGTAGTGGGATTGCTGGATAGAATGGTAGTTCTACTTCTAGTTCTTTAAGGAATATTAATACCATTTTCCCATGGTAGTTGTACTAGTTTATGTTTCCACTAGCAGCACACATTTATCTATGTAACAAACATGCACATCCCGCACATGTATTTTGGAACTTAAAATAAAATTAAATTATTTTTTTAAAAAGTGAGCAAAGGACATGAATAGACAATTCTCAAAAAAAGATATACAAACAGCCAACAAACATATGAAACACTGCTCAACATCACTAATTATCAGGGAAATCCTAATTAAAACCACAATGAAATATCACCTTATTCCTGCAAGAATGGCCATAATTTAAAAGTCAAAAATCAGTAGATGTTGGCACAGATGTGGTGAAGAGTCTCTCCATTTTAATCAGCCTATTTCCTTTCTTTATTGTACTATATAATTTATTTATATTTAATGTTTAATTTATTTATATTTAATATAGCTAGATTCATATCAATCACCTTGTTAAGCATTTTCAATTTGTCTCATCTGTGTCTTGTTCTTACACTTCTTTCTTTATGGCTTCATTTTATAGCGTTTTACCTAGTTTACTATCTTATCAGCTATACTCCTTGGTTTATTTTTCAGTGGTTCACAAATCTGCATATTTAACTTTTGCAGTGTGTCCTTCAAATGCCCCTTGTCATACATTCTACTAAATATGAAAGAGTACACTGCCCGTTTTTTTATTCTTTTATACCTAAAGTAAGATTATCATATGATTAACTTTTATATTCCTTAGAAAGCTCACAATACGTTTGTATGGCTTTTATCCTAATCAATCCATTAAAATATCAAGGAACAATAACAAGTATTTTATATTTATCCACTTAGGCTATCTAAACATTCTGGAAACATAGTATATCTTTAAAACCTTGGGTACACAAAGATTTATTAGATGGGTCCCAGGCAGCACTAAAGATAAACATAAAATTGTGACAAATTCAAATTCACCTACTTAAAAACAATAAGCTAGTACGTCACAGTTTGGAAGGAATATTTGCTTTATTTAACAAAGTACTTAAATCTAGAATATTTGATAACTTCTAAAAATCAATAAGAAAAGAACAAACTTTTGAAAATGGGGAAAGATTTTAAAAGGCAGTTTATGATGCCATCAAATAATCATTATTAATGTAAACAAACTCAATATTATTAATTTGGAAATACAATTCAAAAATTCAAGAAGTTCTGCTACACATGTTTCATGGTAGTTAATTTTATAACTAACAACAAAAACAAATTCTGGCAAGGATGTGGGACAGAGTCTCCACACATTGCTGGTAGTTATTTCATATTTTACAAATAGTGGGAATCATTCTGGCATTTTGTGTTCTTAAAATAAAGCATATTCCTTTTCTAAGACCCATCAATTTCACATCTTGACAGTTACCTAAGACAAATGAAAATATACCTCAGCCCTAAACTATAAATAAATCAAACATTAATTTAATAGGTGAATCGATAATGAACTTGTATATTTACATAGTAAAAGCAAGGATAGAGGACCTTACTCTTTTTCCCGATTAACTGAACAATTTCAACTTATCATTTAGGTTCTAACTTAAAGGCTATCATCATCAGAAAGCACACATATCTAGATTCAATTGTGTGCCCCTTTCCTTGCATTTTACCTACAGCCTTGACTGTGCAGCCTCCCAATCCCTAGCAGAATACGATGCATATGCCTGTATTCTAAAAATATTGTTAATGTGAAATAAGTGTGTCAATGATATTTTCCAGTGCTTTATTATATACCATTGTTTACTGTGCAGTGCAGAGGAATATGATGAATAGCCAAAATGAGAAGACTGTATACCATAAAGGATATCTGTGGTCCTACTTTTGGAAAAAAATATAGTCTACACTAAAAGTTTATATTTTGGGTAAAGTACATTTGGGGAAACTGTTTGGCATACAGTGAATGTTGTGTCTTCCTTAAATTCATAAGTTGAAACCCTAATATCCATAGAGACTTCAGGAGATAATTAGGTCACCAGGTTGTAGTCTTCATAAATGGGATTAGGGGAAGGCCAGAGAGCTAGCTAGCTTCCTTTCAGCCATGTGAAGATAAAAGGAAAAGTCCAGTCAGTAGTCCGCAACCCAGACCCGGGCCCTCACAAGAGTCTGAACATGCTGTCTTCCGGACTCAGAATTCCAGTCTTATAACTGTGATAAACAATTTTCTGTTGTTTATAAAGCCCCCGTCAATGGTACTTTGTTATAGCAGCCCAAACTGACTAAGACATAATGTCAGAAATATTCTAGTACCTTTAATTTTATTCCCCACAATTATTTTCTCCTCATACTCAACACTATATGTACTATGGTAAAATTAATCTTTCCAAATTCCATTTCTTAAATTCTATTCTAATTACTTTGCTCTAACATTTTAGATTATTTTTCTTTTTAAAAATCCTTTTGAGTTCAGACATTTCTATTTGATTTGTACCTGTGTACACTGTTCATTTAGTAATTCTAATTTAGTGTGAATCTATGAAGGCAATTCTAGAACATATCTTCTCAAACCTGTCTCAAGAAGAACTGGAGTGCATGAACCATTTTATGCCCATTAATAATAATTAAACATAAAAAATCTTCAACAAATAAAAATCCTTTGCCCAGCTAAGTATTCATATGATAGGGGGCATTTTGCAAAATTTTCTTAAAATAGATTATTTTGAATTTATATAAATGCAAAGAGATTGGAATATGGACACTATTTGATACAAAATCAGACTAGGAAAGTAGACAAATATTTCTTATAAATATAGATATAATCAAACTAAATAAATTTAACACTTTAATAAGAAATATGTCATGAGCAAGTTTACTATGTCTTTAGAATGATAGTTTAATATTTTGTAAAGTCTGTAAATGCAAATATAAATTTCAAAAATATAATAATATAGGAACATCTTTTTATCTTTTAATAGATACAAAAAACTGTATTTAATACAATTCAGCTATCATTTATAATAATAAATATTACTACCAAGAGTATAAGAAACCTTCCACAATCTCATAAATTATATTTAAGAAGGAAAAATAACAACAAATTTTATTGTTAATAAACATTAAAAGCGCTGCCTTGAAATAAGGACAATAACAAAGGTACTGACTGCCAAGATTTCTGTCAGATTAGCATGGCTAATCTAATCTTTATTTTAAGATAAAAGAAAAATAACTGTAAAAGGAAAGGAGACTACAAAATCACCCCCATTTGCAAGTAATTATCCAAATAGAACATGTTTAGAAATGTCTATTTATGTTACCAGAAAATAATAAATCTTTACAAAACATGTTTGGATAAAATTCAATATTAAAAAGTTAACCAAATTTCCATATACTACAACTAAAAATATAATTTAAAAATAATATTTACAATAGCAACAAAATAAATTTCTCAAAATAAATCTAACAAAAATGTGTCCATTATATGAGCAGAAAGCTTGAAAATTTATCTAAAATTAATGAAGGTATTGACAAATACATGAAGAGATCTCCCATCCTCATGGACAAGAAGACAATTTCATAAAGATATCAGAACGATACTCTTCCCCAATTATTTTATAGGTTCTATAAAACTGCAATCTAAGTTCCTTTTTGAAGTTCACACACTTCTAAAATTTTTACAGAAGTGTAAAGGAACAAGAATTGCCAAGAAACTAACAAGAACAAGGAAAATGAGTGAGGATTTGCCTATTTGACTTCCAGGCTTGTTAAGCTGTGGTATTTAAGTCAATGTGAATTCTTTCACCATCAACTATAAGACCACTAGTGAGTAAATAAAGCATTAAGAACATATTGGCTGGGCGCGGTGGCTCATGATTCTAATTCCAGCACTTTTGGAGACCGAGGCAGGTGGATAACCTGAGGTCGGGAGTTCGAGACCAGCCTGGCCAACATGGCGAAACCTTGTCACTACTAAATATACAAAAAATAGCCAGGTGCATTGGTGCACGCCTGTAATCTTAGCCTCTCAGGAGGTGGAGGCAGGAGAACTGCTTGAACCTGGGAGGGCAAGATCATGCCACTGCACTCCAGTCTAGGTGACAGAGAGAGACTCCAACTCAAAAAAAAAAAAAAAAGAAAGAAAGAACATATTGACCTTAGAGTGGTAGTATAGTTTTCACTGAATGCAGCACTTGTTAGACATATCAAATCTGTATTAGCAATTCTTCTATGTCACAACCATGTGTCCTCAGGTTACATTCATTCTGCCTTATCATAGCTCTCAATTTTACTCTATAATCAATTTCTATAATAACCTCTGCATTATGCCTTTATTTATTTTAAATATATATTTTTTAATTGAAAAATAAAAATAGTATATTTTTTCATATGCAATGTGTTGCTCTGAGATACAGTAGTCACCCTCTTACCCTGTTTCATTTCCACAGCTTCAGTTACCCACAATTGTCCAAAAATATTAAATGGAGATTTCTAGAAATAAATAATTTATAGATTTTAAATTCTGAGTAGTATCATGAAATCTTGGGCCATTTTACTCTTTCCTGCCTGAAAGGTGAATTATTTCTTTATCCAGTGTATCCATGCTGTATACATTACCTGCTACTTAGTATCCTTCTGGGATATTCAAATTAACTGTCACCACATAGCAGGGCTTATGTTCAAGTAACTTTTATTTTATTTAATAATGGCTCCAAAGCACAAGAGTAATGATGGTGACAATTCAGATATACCAATGAGAAGCAGAATCATTCTTCCTTTAGGGGAAATGGTGAGCATTTGGAACTTAATAAGGAAAGAAAAATATTGCCCACTGAGGTTGCTAAGCTCCACTGGTAAAAATGAATCATCTATCCATGAAATCATGAAGAAGATAAAAGAAATTAATGCATAGGGTTTGGTACTATCTGTGGTTTCAGACATCCACTGGGGGTCTTGGAATGTCTCCCCTGTGGATAACATAGTTACATATTGTGGAATGGCTAAATTAAGCTAATTAACATACACATTTGGTTAAATTTCTAAGACACGAGTTTATGAGAGGAAGTTTAGAAAACAACATTCTTGTAGTTTACAAAATAACTGGAAGACATCAGGAGAAAGGAGCAATCATGAAAAGAAAACAGGCCCAGGATAACGAACATTGCAGGCTGTAAGAGTATGGAGTTTGACTCTGTCCAAGGAAGAACATCACTCCAAGTTTCTGAAGTAGAACCCCTCAGAAAATATGTAGATTAAGGAAATATCTCAAAGCTACAATCTACCCTTGGGATAGGGAACATTATTTTTGTGGTTTGATTCGGTTTGTGTTTCTCTCTACTTCACACTCTATTCACAGAAAGGAAGATGTTGATGTCAAAGGTAAGGCTTAGCAGGCTCAACACCATGTGGAAGCTGCCAAGGCTTGAGGCTTGCACCCTCTGAACCCACAGCCCAAGCTCTGCGTTGGCCCCTTTCAGCCATGGCTGGAGCAGCTGGGACGCAGGGCACCAAGTCCGTAGGCTTCGAGGGGCTGCCACAAAGATCTTTGACATGCCCTGGAGACATTTTCCCCATTGTCTTGGGGATTAACATTTGGCTCCTCATTACTTATCCAAATTTCTGCAACTGGCTTGTATTTCTCCTCAGAAAATAAGATTGTCTTTTTTTTTTTTTTGCCTTTTTAATAGGATCATGTCTCTCACTTTACAAATTCTCAAAACATATGGTTCCCTTTTTACATACATATATAAACACTTTTAAACATAAATATCAAATGCATGAGAATCATATGGGCAGATAAATTCAGGAAGCCAAGAACACAGAACGAAAAGCCTGTCACCAGATCTTACAAATGATCATCTAAACTTCTCTGGCCATTCAATTTGATACATTATCCCAAATATTCCATGTCACATGGTCCACAAGGTTTTCTTTTGGGATTCTGAAGCAATCAATAGCCATACTTGTCATTAAGATGGGTTCTGCCATCTCCACTTTGACCTTCAGGTGGGACCCACACACAGTAGTCTGGGTCATCTTCAGGATATTTGGAAGAAAGTGTTGGTGGAAGTTTGCTGGACCAGGTGTTTTCTTTTTCTTCAATTCACCTCTGCTTTTCTCATATTCATTCTTTGATGCTGAGGGTCCTGCGCACAATGAAGTGGTTTTGCTACAGTCTTGATAATCTTTATTCTGTTCTTCCTCGCTAAGTTGAGACATGTTTTCATGGGTTTGGTTTTCTTTAAAATGTGTGAGATCTGTGGGAGGCCTCATTTCCTGCACTGCTGCTTCTGGCTGTATCTCTGGCTGTGGCCTACTGAGGCTTCCATCCTCCAGTTTTTTCTTTTCATGCTCCTCCTTTTCTTTCTCTTCTTCCTCTTCCTCTTCCTCCTCCTCTTCTACTTCAGGCTCATCTTTCATTCTCATTAAAGTTGGAGGGAGTTCTGGATGCTTCGGGGGTAACTTCCCTGCTGTTCTAGTTTTTAATTTGAATTTGCTTCCTCCTTTCATGGCACCAAATAGAGGCAATGTAAGCTTTTTAGCTTTGTTTTCAAGATTGTCTTCTCTATCGCATTGACAGGCTGCAGATTTTACGAACTCTTATGCTCTGCTTCTCTTATAAAACTGAATGCCTTTAACAGCACCCAAGTCATCTTTTGAATGCTTTGCTGCTTAGAAATTTATTCCGCCAGATACTCTAAATCATCTCTCTCATGTTCAAAGTTCCACAGATCTCTAGGGCAAGGGCAAAATGCCACCAGTCTCTTGGATAAAACACAACAAGAGTCACCTTTGCTACAGTTCCCAACAAGTTCCTCATCTCCATCTGAGACTACCTCAGCCTGGATTTTATCTTCCATATTATTATCAGCATTTTGGTGAAAGCCATCCAATAAGTCTCTACGGACTTTCAAATTTTTCCACATTTTCCTGTCTCTTCTGAGCCCTCCAAACTGTTCCAACGTCTGTTACCCAGTTCCGAAGTCACTTTCACATTTTCGGGTATGTTTTCAGCAGCTCCCCACTTTACTGGTACCAATTTAAGTACTATTAGATTTTTAAAAAGCAGCAGGAACTGTTTCACCATAGCCTGGATCTTTTCTATCTTAGTCATTACCATCTTACACAGTATGGGGCTGGAAGTGGCATGAGCTGTTTCATGAACCTGAAGAAGCGTATCAGGCACCATATTTGCTTCTTGATGGTAGGATATGGAAGATGCAGCAATTTGTATTTTTCTTGGAGTGATATCCTATAATGGCTCTAACCATCAGCTCCCTAAAATGTTTGCAGCAGTGGCTTAAATCTGAAATTTTGCAGGACTTATCACCCACCATCTTGTGTTCAGATGTCTCATCATTGACTCTAACATGCTTATTCCAGCTAATAAGTGTCATATAATTGATACATTAGATTAGTGAGATCTTCATAATATGGAAATGGTCCAGAAGTGTTGTGACTATATTATGACTGAAAGGTATGACAACAGAGTTCATATAGTCCTGGTTCAAAACTGTGAATGAATCCAATCTCTAATTCTAATTTTTTTATTATCTTTTTTATTTTTTATTTATTTAGTGTTTTTGAGATGGAGTTTCGCTCTGTCACCCAGGCTGGAGCACAGTGGCGTGAACTCCGCTCACTGCAACCTCTGCCTCCCGGGTTCGCGCCATTCTCCCGCCGCAGCCTCCCGAGTAGCTGGGACTACAGGCGCCCGCCATCATGCCCGGCTAAGTTTTTTTTTTTTTTTTTTTTTTTTTGTATTTTTTAGTAGAGACGGGGTTTCACCGTGTTAGCCAGGATGGTCTTGATCTCCTGACCTCGTGATCCGCCCGCCTCAGCCTCCCAAAGTGCTGGGATTACAGGCGTGAGCCACTGCACCCAGCCTCTAATTCTAATTTATTAATTGAATAAATTCTCTTCATTAACTGACATATAAAACAACACATTTGTCAGATAAATGACCTTATATCAGGTACTTAGGCAAAATATCATGTTCTTTAGAGTAGTTGTGATTTGGATTGCCAGTTGTTTGAGAAGTCATCTTTTTTTAATCTATCTGGTTAGAAGAAGATCTGGTAGATAGACAGAACCAGAAGCCTCACTGGTTAACTACATGCAACTATTACAAGGACAACCATCTTCACATCATTTAGATCTTTAAATGTGTTACCTATGCCCATTCTCCTCATTCCCTTAGATTCTGGAATGCAACATTATTTTTACTTATTATCTTGGCTGGTGCGAGGAATATATTCAGACTTCCACTTGGCTTTCTACACTATGAGAGGTCTTATCTCAGTTGCCAAAAACTCAAAGTGAGGTTTATACATTTGCTGGTTGGGGAAATTACAACTGGGTAAGTTGTTGAAACGGTGTGCTTTATCTGGACATCCATTTATTGCTTCACCTGTATAGACCCTAACTCTAACAGGGAACACTTTAGATCTCTTTTTATTAATGTCAACTCTGACCCTTTGTTTGATAGTCCTTGAAATGTCTTAGTATTTTTCTTTCCCCAGAAAAAATTCAACTGAATAAATGGCTATACGTCTCTTTGGGGCAAAAGTGGAGTAATCATTACAAGATATAATTGCTTTAATTTTGTACAGCTATTTGATTTAAAAACTGGCCACGTAATCAACTAATTTCATATCTGAAAATTGGTGGGAGAGGAAGAACTGAAAAAGTGATGTGACTTGTCATCAGGACAACAGTTCTCAGCTTCTTGTTCCTTTATTCACCCTTTCTTCTGCTTACAGATGTTAAGCAGCACCTTCATTTGCTTCACATTTTTTTCCCTCAGATAGAATACCATGTTCTATTAATCATCTCCAGAACTCTCTGAAGGTGCAGCCCCATAGCAGTCCCACCAACCTGTCATTTGCTATTATAATTGTAGCACTATGGACCTGGCAATTAAGAGCTGCCACCTGGAGATCTGTCATACTCATTGCTGTTAACAACAAGTGCAATGAGTGCCAACAATTAATTGCTATTAAGCCAAGCTCTGTGACCACCTCTTCAACCATCAGACCTGCTCTAAAGAGAAGAACCAACATTGGACTTAGTGGTCTTCTCAGACCTTTCATTGTTACATTCATTGATGGTCTTGTTGGAAAGTGTGTCTTCTGGGCTCTACCATGGATTTACCTCTGATAAATTCTCCAGCATTACATAATCTCTGCATTCCAGTATGCCCAGTTCTCTGAGACTTTTTTTCCCCATCATCTATCATATGCCATGGCAACTCAGGCATTTATACATCTTCAGCACATGGCATCCCTTTCAGAATTTTAAAAGCCATTTTAGGAAGTGAGTTTTACCCTGAAATTCTTGCCAGAGTCTTAAATTTCATATCACTTTCCTGTGACTCCATGTCAATGAAGTCTTATTAGTTGTGACAAATGTACCATAATAATGTAACACATTAGAAACAGGGAAAACTGGGTCAGGATATGGAAAATTTCTGAACAACCTTTCTGAAATTTCTGCAAATATAACACTTTTCTAAAATAAATTTGAGTAAATATTTAAAAATCTGTAAAACAGAATTATAGGAGAGATTCACAGAGTCATTTATAGTTAAAATTTAAATATTTATATAATTTTCAAAAACATATACTGTGAGACAGAAAAACCTTTTAAAGGGCAACTAAGTAATAGGGTTATGTAATTTTAATTAAGCATTTAAAATCTTTTAGTAAGTAGGAAAACAGTACATTGTAGAGTCTCATCAAAAGAGAAATGTGTGATTAAAAGTTGATTCTATCAAATTGTTCTTGATATTTCTTTTTCTTTTTTTCATTATTATCCTTTGTTAGAAAACAAAGTGTGCTAATTAGCTGTTGAAACTGTTGATATTTTAAAGGCAGAAATCAGGAAATTCTAAGTTAAATTGTCTTATCCCTAAATAAAGTGTTGTTGAATTTCCAGTTACTTCATTTTTAGGACATTATGGCTGGTTACAGCCTTGAAATTGCTTGGAATATCAGTCCTTTGCTGAATAACTTGTTAAGATGCAAGAAAATGAGCTTTCTTTACTCCATATTATATGCATAATTGGTGGCATGTTTATGGTTTAAGAATATGATGGGCTACGAAGAATTCTGAATTTTGATTTAGAATCAAATGCTGGTTGAAAATGCTGGTAGATATAGTGAAGACTTTACAATACTTAATTATTTTTAAAAAATTGAAAAATCAATATTGCCTAAGGATATTATTTTCTTGGTTTTTCAGTACTTAGTGACCTTGTAAATTAGTGAGATAACTTGAAAAATTGCTTTTGTTTTAGTTCAATGTCCTATAAAGTAATTCACTAACTCACGGATTAAAACAAAAATATTTACTTTGGTAATTGTATTCATCCTTAACTTTTCTCTATGTGCTTTTTTTTTAAAAAAAAGTATAAAAACCAATTTAGACCATGTATGTTATGTGGATCATTCAAACATGTGTTGTATATGTACACACACACTTATACACACACACATACATACATACATATATTCACACAATTATTTAATTGTAAAAAAATTCACTGAGTAATTACTATAGACTGTCCATTAAACACATTTTTTTTGAAAAGATAAAAGACATATCTTGTTAATCTTGAAAACTCAGTGCAGGAGAGAAAAGAGCAATCTAGAGAAGCATCTCAAGTCACTCTAGTTTTCATGGCCACCTGAAAATTAACCTTTGAGGGATAAAATGACACATTCTAAGAAATTCAGGAAAACTGTAGAGGAAGGATAAAATAAATACAATAAACAAAGACTATTAGAAAGGCCAACTGAAATAACATTTGATGCATCTAGTTTGCCTGGCTCAGAAGCCTGGACATCCTATCTACAGGAAATTGGAGGCTGTTGAAAGACATGTGCAACAGAACAACACTATATGTTTTAAGAAGCTAACTATGGTGGTTATGCAAATAATAAATTATGCAAACAAACAGTAGAGGCAGATAGATATATAGATTTACATATAGATAGATACATAGTTGGAGCTTATTGCAATAATCCAGTTGAGCAATATAGAGATCCTAAATGTAGACAACAGAATAGTGGAGACAAAAGAACATCTTGAGTCCTATTTGGGAAGAAAACTGGAGAGACTGCCATCATGGAAAGGCAATATGAGTGCCTACAACCCCTACTTTTGATGTTGAGCTGACTACATTACTCAGAAAGCTGTTATCTCAGCTGCGTTCAAGCTGATCTCCTAGTTTAATGGTGTATGTTCCTTAGTTTTGAAATTATATGAATGTTTACTCTCAATTATGATTATACAATTTGTTTAAAGTAAACTCATCAAAATTTTAGATATTTAGTTTCCAATTTCTCTTTTTAAAATCGTATATGTAGCATTCTTAACATTTGAATTCATTTACTAATAAAAATTAAAAATTCCATTTATTATGGTATACCAGAAAACAGCATTTGTAATAATTTTGTGAACAAAGTTTACATATATATTTTGTAATTTTGAAAATTAAATGTATCATATGTGAAATTTTTTATAGAATAAAACATACTTTTAGCTTATGTCATAAATTGAGGATATTGCCAACAATTACTTATTATTTAAAATAGAAAGTTGTCTATCATGTAAAACATCAAACAAGTTTTACTGACTCAGTGATGGAATATACACACTTATACAGGAAAGTTGAAAAGTAAATTAGAAGTTTATCTACTATAGGATATATATTATTTTAGGATAAAACGAGTTTTAACCAATGTATTCATATGCCTAATTTCAAGAAAGCTTTTCGGGTGCTCCAACTTACCATACTGATAGGTTGAAAACTACCATTGTTACTTGGATGTATTTTTTAAATAAACTAATTATTTGGATTACACTTCTTGATAAATATAAGTGTATATATATTGTAATCGACTATGGATGTTCAATGTACTAAAAAGTTTCTATTGAATCATGTTTCTATAGTTTGAATGTTGATTTTCTATTAACATGTGTGTGACCCAGGTAAGTCAATTAATTGTTTTAAGAATGCTTTTTAGAAAGTTGAGAATCCCATAAGGAATCTGGCAATGGTAACTAAAAATGATAGTCCATAGTATTACTGAACATAATTATATACATATATTCTATAAAATAGAACAACATAGTTATTAGTGTTTCATGCAACAGAAAAATTTTTAAGTAATTGCTATGCACAATGTAATATTAAAGTTATTGATGATTCAACAACGTTTCTGTTTATAGAGACCATGCATTCTAATGGGGAGGTAAATTGGACTTTGTGTTAAAGTATCTTTTGTAATTTCTCTACAATATTTTATTATTTGCAGTCCATTAAGCATGTCCTAAATAATGAATATTTTTGAATATTGTAGTTCTTAGTAATATAATATTTTAAGTGTTTAAAATGTCTCAGTTCTGTGAATAATTTACAAATTCTTCATTTTACGGCTTTCTGATAGTGCTTTGTGGATCTGCATGATGATTCTTCCTGTTAATTATACCCTGGTATTTAGCAGCATTCTCAGGGAAATCTATACAGATTTCTAGTCTTTCATTTACATATACTTCTCAGTTACTTTTTAGTCTTTCCTGGAAATCCAGCTAGCTCAGGCTTTTTAAACTACAAACTCTTGACTCTTAAACTCAGTGTGATTGCCCTGTTCTGCTTGTATTCTTCCTCCTTGTTCTGAAGTCCAGAAAGTGCTTCTAGGCAGAAAACTAGGAGATCCCTCTCCTAGCCTTCTGGCTGTCTGAAGTTTGAAAACATGTTTTCTGAAATTTCATGTTGTTTAGAGAAGGTCAAGTCTAATACTAGTTAAACCATTGCAATCAAATTCAGTTTTCTCTTTTTCAAGATTATCTTTTTTATTATTTTACTATAATTATATTTGAACTGATCAATGTTTGTTTAGTTTGTCTATCATTCTGCATTGTTAGAACGTATTAATCATAGTTACTTTAAAGTATTTTTCTGCTAAAGAAGTCCTCTGAGTCATTTGTGGGTCTAGTTCTATTGTTTATATTTTCTCTTATTGTTAATAGGTTCTTGCTTCTTCATACATCTAGTTAAATTATTATGTATGGTGAAATTACATATATAAAATATGCCCCCATCATATTGTCATGCACCAGGGAAGATTTGTTCATTCATATGTTAGAGAAGCAAGGAACTGATAATCTCAAAACGGTCAGGTTTATTTTGACTTTTGTAATATTTTGTTTGCAGTTTTAGGAAGACTAATGTATGTTTTGTTCACACATTTCCTAATATGTGATTCTCAGTTTTTAATTAAAAGTTCACAGGTTTACTTCCCTTCAGCCATAAAACACTATGAGAAATATAATTTTGTTCTTCATCTGTTCATCCCAATTCTCCAGGTTTCTGACCACTAAATTTCAAAATCTGACACATTTTTAAGTGAAAAACCAGCCTGTGCTTGAGGAAGTCCTCTTCCGTCAGATTGTTGTTTTCTTATCTAGTCGTCAAAAGACTGCAGGAGATTTCATTCTGCCTTTCATTTACATTTAGCCTAGCTTTCCAGTCTCTGATGCAGATTCACAAATCAACAAATAGCCCATAAAGAAACTAGTGAGTTTTCAGTTGTGGTACTTTTACTTTTACAATTTACATTCCAGTTCCTTACAACTACTACCAGATTTACTGATTTCCCTTAACCCCATCAGAGGTCTTTCCAAACCAAGCCCAAATTTCAGATGATGCCTGAAATTAGCAAATGTCCACAGGGAAAAAATACATGAAAATACTTGTTCATTTTACAAAAGTTTATCGTCCCTAAAATTTTTAAATTATTTAGTTTTTCTTGCTTTCATAGCCCTTCATGAACTGTAATACGATAATATGATTTTTATAAATTTATCTTGCTCCTTTTTTAGTTCATGGCACACCATGATACACTGTGTCTTACTTAGAAGCAGAATTCTGCATTATGCTTTTAATTACAATAATTATATTTTTATGTCAAGAATCTTGAATTTTTTTACTTTCAAATCTTGGTTATTTTTCATGGATTTTTGAACCTTCTTATATTTTCAAGTTTTTCTGTTAATTTTGAATATATAGACACTTTTTTTACATGTAGTGTTTATCAACTCTCTTGATGTCTTTGTGGATCGTTTCTTGGTATCTCTTGTTACTGTTTGTCCTCTGACTTTTCATGTTGAATTATCATAGTTGTTTTTACTGTTATTGCTGTTTTAACTGTGAATGGTGGTTTATCTTTAAAAGTTTATCCATGGGTATTTCCTTGAGAACTGGATGAAGCTGAGCTCCACAAGGATTTAAGACTGCTGCTACTAATCTTCCAGAAGCACTACCAAACTGCAACCACTGTAAATTGTATTTTTCTGCTGGAGACTTTCAGACCAGGTAGAATAAACCTGCACAAAAAATCTCAGATGTGGTATCTCTTGTGTTTAGAAATCTCAGAAGTAATTTATTTTTCCCTACTCAGTTCCAAAGTAAAGATATATTTTTTTCCATATTTTCCTATGATTTGTGTAAATTTCTCATTTACGTTCCCATGAAAATGTATCCTTTTAATGGTCTAAGCTTTATGTGTATTAAACAACTCATTTGGGGAAAATCATAACTATTCTGTTCTCAAATTCCTAAGCTACCACGATCAAGATTACCTTTTTTTTTTTTGGAAAAAAAAAAAAAAAGGCACATAAAGAGTTCCTTACCTCCAAGATATCTATAACTTTGGATTGTGCTTCTGTGGATTCTTTGACACTGGCTTCCCAATGTGTTATTAGATACACACACACTATAGTGTACATATACATATATGTACATGTTTGTACATTTTGTACACACCTGTACATGCATATATATTATATACAAGACATATATACATGAATACATGTACATGTGTATACATACGTGTGTGTGTGTATATATATACACATACATATACATTCATAGATTCATACATACAAGTAGATACACATATACTCTTGTCTTAGGGCTGCTATAACAAAAACATCATAAACTGAGTGGCTTATAAAGGACAAAAATTTATTTCTTACAGTTTTCGGGACTGGGACGTCCAAGATAACGGACATGCAAATTTCTTGTCTGACGAAGGCCGGTTTTCTCATAGATAGTGCCTTCTTGCTGAGACTTCCCATTGTATAAGGGACAAAAAACTCCCTTGGGCCTCTTTTGGTAAGAGTACTAATCTCATCCATGAGGGTTTTGTCCTCATGACTTAGTCACCTCCCACAAAAACCTATCTTTTAGTACTATTACATTGGAGACTGGGTTTCAATGCACAAATTATGGGAGGAAACCAACTTCAGACAATGGTGATAATGGGCACGCATATATATTTATGGGCATATATATGTATATTTAATTTTACTTAATATTTTGTGCATGTTTATTTTATTTAGGATTGTTTGCAAGTTATCTAGTTAGCCATACTACTATAACAAATATGTTTAAATTTAATTTTCATAATTTGATAGGTATTATTGTCTATAGAAATTTAAAAATGGAAATTGACTAAATCATACATTATTTTATTAAAATGTTAAATATTTGTTAGTAATTATTTGAGTATACAGTTTACTTACCGTTTATATGCTTAACCACCACATTATGGTAGCTTGAATAAATTAACTCCTGAATAAAAATTATAAGTGCTGGGATAAAGGAGAAAAAAGTTTTCTCCCTCATGTGACAATTGAGAGTAGTTTAATTCAATTTAACCCTTGCCTTTGAGTAGCAAATGCAAACAGCTGAAGGTTCCTGCAAAATATGAGGAAGTAGAGTTTATTTGCACTTGAAACAAGTTGCCTATATATATAGCTTATAAGTTGTAAGGACTGTGGTGTTTGGAAAGATATTGTAGTTGGAGTCATAACAGAAAACCTGCTGGAAGCTGGAAATTTAAAATTGGTTTCTCAAAAGTGTAAAGTGAATGCTGTTTCACTGCAATTTGGCAGTATACCAGAAAAATATAAAAGTATTATTGTTTTTCATGCTGATCAAAATTCAGACAAACTAATAGATCTATACATATGTGAATTTTTATTACAATGATTTTAATGATGTACTTGCTTCTAAAGCATAATATACTATTTATTATGCCACAGGTTCAAACAATGTTCAAAGAAACTTTCATTCAATCAGATATTTTAGACATAAAAAAGGCAGCATGGGTCCCTAGCTCCAGCTCAGTTTTTAAAACCTTTCAACAGTTCTGTTTACACTTCTACTACAGTAGTTTATTCTGCATTTGCTATCCTTAATCAAATAAGGGTTTAAATATGCATAAGGAGTCACACCACATTTGCAACATTAAAAAACATACAATTTCATGTGTTTAATTACCTTATTTATTAAAGTATAATTTTCTAACAGGTAAAATTATGACTCTAATGCAAATATAAAATTAATTTGTATCAAAGATGTTATTCAACTCATTAAGTGATTCGGGTTCCAGTAACATATTAACATCATTACAAGGAACATTAAAATTGCTTTATAGCCAATGTTGAGGTAAGATTATTAGTTAGTTCCAACACTGGTTAGTATCCAACATAGCCAGAAGCCATAATCTTTGGTAGTTATCTGTTTCATTGGACAGAAATAAATTTCTCTTCTACTGGAGAGAATTTTTCATCTTTTCTACTATTTCTGCACAAAAAATGCCTCTCAATAGTAAGACAAACCCAGCATTGCACTAAAAAAAAATCTTAGTAATCTCTTACCCATATTTTTCTTTTTTACTTTATAAAATATATCTCTTCATTGGGTTTTCTATCTGAAGATTTACACATATATACAGTAAAATGAATAAAAGCATAGCAAGTGTATATATTAATAACATTTTTACATTTATGTTTAATTAAAATACAACACATTGCACATATTCAAAGTGTAAATGACATGATTTTGACATATGCATGTGCCCATTAAATAATCATCATAAACAAGATAATAAACATGTCCAAAAGTCCCAAAACTTCCTAGTGAACTTTGTAATGCACACTCATACCTCTCAGGTGTGAAGTACCTAAATACACAGACAGACAAACATGCACACACACTTGGATATCTAATTGTTTCAGCAGCATTTGTTCAAAATGTT
This sequence comes from Homo sapiens, assembly GCF_000001405.40. Classification (NCBI taxonomy): domain Eukaryota; kingdom Metazoa; phylum Chordata; class Mammalia; order Primates; family Hominidae; genus Homo; species Homo sapiens. The sequence goes on from NC_000009.12 coordinate 30,570,041, forward strand.
AACCTTATGCCCATGAATTGTCTAAAAACTTTTTTAAAAATTAGCTAACAAACATTCTCTCAGAACACAGTACAATCAAATTAGAACTCAGGATGAAGAAACTCACTCAAAACCACACTAAAACTGAACAACCTGCTACTGAGTGACTACTGCGTAAATAACGAAATTAAGGCAGAAATCAAGAAGTTCTTTGAAACCACTGAGAATAAAGAGTCAATATACCAGAATCTCTGGGACACAGCAAAGGCAGTGTTAAGAGGGAAATTTATAGCACTAAACTAAATGCCCATATCAGAAAGTAGGAAAGATCTGAAATTGACACACTAACATCACGATTAAAAGAGCTAGAGAAGCAAGAGCAAACAAATTCAAACGCTAGCAGAAGACAAGAAATAATTAAGATCAGAGAAGAAATGAAGGAGATGTAGACACGAAAAATGCCTTAAAAAATCAATGAATCCAGGAGCTGTTTTTTTGAAAAGATTAACAAAATAGATATACCGCTAGCCAGACTAATAAAGAAGAAAAGAGAGAAGAATCAAATAGACACACACACACACACACACACAAAATGATAAAAGAGATATCACCACTGATCCCACAAAATACAAATTACCATCAAAGAATACTATAAACACATCTACCTAAATAAAACAGAAAATCTAGAAGAAATGGATAAATTCCTAGACGTATACACCCTCCCAAGACTACACCAGGAAGAAGTTGAATCCCTAAATAGACCAATAACAAGTTCTAAAATTGAGGCAGTAATCAATAGCCTACAAAACAAAAAGCCCAGGACCAGACAGAATCACAGCTGAATTGTATCACGAGGTACAAAGAGGAGCTGGTACTATTCCTTCTGAAACTATTCCAAACAATAGAAAAAGAGGGACTCCTCCCTAACTCATTTTATGAAGCCATCATCACCCTGATGCCAAAAACTGACAAAGACTCAACAAAAGAAGAAAATTTCAGGCCAATATCCCTGTTGAACATCGATGCAAAAATCCTCAATATAATACTGGCAAAACGAATCCAGCAGCACATCAAAAAGCTTATCCACCACGATCAAGTCACTTCATCCCTGGGATGCAAGGCTGGTTCAATATACGCAAATCAATAAACGTAATCCATCACATAAACAGAACCAGGGACAAAAACCACTTGATTTTCTCAATAGATGCAGAAAAGTGCCTTCAATAAAATTCAACATCCCTTCATGCTAAAAACTCTCAATAAACTAGGTATTGATAGAACATATCTCAAAATAATAAGAGCTATTTATGACAAACCCATAGCCAATATCATACTGAATGGGCAAAAGCTGGAAGCATTCCCTTTGAAAAGCAGCACAAGATAAGTGTGCCCTCTTTCATCACTCCTATTCAACATACTATTGGAAGTTCTAGCCAGGGCAATCAGACAAGAGAAAGAAATAAAGGGTATTCAAACAGAAAGAGAGGAAGTCAAATTGTCTCTGTTTGCAGATGACACGATTGTATATTTAGAAAACCGCATTGTCTAAGCCCAATAACTCCTTATGCTGATAAGCAACTTCAGCAAAGTCTCAGGATATAAAATCAATGTGCAAAAATCACAAGCACTACTATACACCAATAATAGACAAGTAGACAGCCAAACCATGAGTGTACTCCCATTCACAATTACTATGAAGAGAATAAAATATTTAGGAATACAACTTACAAGGAAAGTGAAGGACTTCTTCAAGGAGAAGTACAAACCACTGTTCAAGGAAATAAGAGAAGACACAAATAAATGGAAAAAAAATCCATGGTCATGGATAGGAAGAATTAATATTGTGAAAATGGCCATACTGCCCAAAGTAATTTATAGATTCAATGCTATTCCCATCAAGCTACCATTGACTTTCTTTGCAGAATTAGAAAAAGCTAATTTAAATTTTATATGGAACCAAAAAAGAGCCCATGTAGCCAACACAATCCTAAGCAAAAACAGCAAAGCTGGAGGCATCACGCTACCTGATTTCAAACTATACTACAAGTCTACAGTAACCAAAACAGCATGGTGCTGGCACCAAAACAGATATATAGACCAATGGAAAAGAACAGAGATCTCAGAAATAACGCCACACATCAACAACCACCTGATCTTCGACAAACTTGACAAAAACAAGCAATAGGGAAAGGATTCCCTATTTAATAATTCGTGCTGGGAAAACTGGCTAGGCTTAGGCAGAAAACAGAAACCGGACCCCTTCCTTACATCTTATACAAAAATTGACTCGAGATGGATTAAAGACTTAAATGTAAAACCTAAAACCATAAAAACCCTTGAAGAAAATCTAGGCAATATCATTCAGGACATAGGCATGGGCAAAGACTTCATGACTAAAACATCAAAAGCAATTGTAGCAAAAGCCAAAATTGACAAATGGGATCAAAGTAAACTAAGGAGCTTCTGGTTAGCAAAGAAACTGTCATCGGAGTGAACAGGCAACCTACAGAATGGGAGAAAATTTTTGCAATCTATCCATCTGACAAATGTCTAATATCCAGAATCTACAAGGAACTTAAACAAATTTACAAGAAAAAAAACAACCCCTCAAAAAGTGAGCAAAGGATATGAACGGGCACTTCTCAAAAGAAGACATTTATATGGCCAACAAACATATAAAATAAAGCTCATCATCAATAGTCATGAAAGAAATGCAAATCAAAACCACAATGAGACACCATCTCATGCCAGTTAGAATGGCGATTATTATAAAGTCAGGAAACAACAGATGCTGGTGAGGCTGTGGAGAAATAGGAATGTTTTACACTGTTGGTGGGAGTGTAAATTACTTCAACCATTGTGGAAGAGAGTGTGTCAATTCCTCAAGGATCTAGAACCAGAAATACCATTTGACCCAGCAATCCCATTACTAGGTATATACCCAAAGGATTATAAATCATTCTACTATAAAGACTCATGCACACATATGTTTACTGCAGCACTATTTACAATAGCAAAGACTTGGAATCAACCCAATTGCCCATCAACAATAAACTGGATAAAGAAAATGTGGCACATATATACCATGGAATGCTATGCAGCCCTAAGAAAGAATGAGTTCATTCCTTTTGCAGGGACATGGATGAAGCTGCAAGCCATCATTGTCAGCAAACTAACATAGGAACAGAAAACCAAACACCACATGTTCTCACTCATAAGTGGGAGTTGAACAATGAAAACACATGGACACAGGGAGCGGAACATCACACACCAGGGCCTGTCGGGGGTGGAGGACAAGTGGAAGGAGAGCATTAGGACAAATACCTAATGCATGTGAGGCTTAAAACCTAGATGACAGGTTGATAGGTGCGGCAAATCACCATGCTGCTATGTAACAAACCTGCACGTTTTGCACATGTATCCCAGAACTTAAAAAAAAAAATCTCAATTCTGCAATTTATAGTACGTACATCTTAACATCATGAACATTTTACATTAAAACCTTTAGATTATATGAAAATTTATAAGGTAGCAATCTAATAATGTAATTACGATGGCAGTATAAAAACGCAGTCATGTTAATTTAATAATGTTAAAGAAAATAAAACAAATTTTTCTATAAACTTGGATTAAAAATAGTAAAATATTATGTTTATGTTAAAAAACTAGCTGATCACACATGCATACTTCTTTATTAGTACTACATTATCTTAATTACTCTAATTTTATACGTAGTCTTGAAACTAGGTACTTTTAGTTTTCCAAATTTGTTGCCTATCAAGGTGATTTGCCATTCTAGGTCCTTTGACCATCTAAGGAAATTTCAGAATTTCAGCTACATAATTTCTAAAAGAAGAAATCCAGCTAGGATTTGATTGGGGTGATCGATGTGGGCGGAGTAAACATCTTAACAGTATTGAGATTTACAGCTTAGAAATTCCATTCCATTTATTTAGGTCTTTATTTATCTCAGCAATATTTTATAGTTTCAAGGGTACAGATGTTTCCTGTTGTTTTCAGAATTATCCCTAAGTACTATACATTTTGATACTATTGTAAACGTTGTTATTTTAATTTTTTCTCTTTCCATTGACGGTCTTAAATCATAATTTAATTGGGTAATACAACTGGGTTTTGAAAAAAGTATATATATACACACAAACACGCATATATATTATATATAAACCAAATATATTCATATAATATACATTTTATTTTTTCTGAATTTTGCACAGTGGCTGTGCTATTATATCTTGTTATAATTGTACTTAATAACACTCAGCCTGTTTTCAAGGACAATATATCCAAAAACATGGCATGTTTCAGTTTATTTAGCATCACAAAACTCTCAAATTGTACTTACTTTTGATGGCAGTGGTGCCCCCTCTGGAGTGGCCACTGCGAGAGCGCCAGCTGCAGTGGGGGAGGTGCAGTCCGGCCTGCATGCTTCACAGAACCAGCCGGGGCCAGAAACAGGCAAGAACCCTGCACCTTACAGAGCTGGCGGGACGCGAGCACCATGCTCCCACCATGCTCCCAGGTGCAGTTGCAGCGGCCCAGCTGTGGCTCTGGACCTGGGCAGCCCTGTGCTCTTGGGGGCCTGGGAAACACCCTGACCTTGCAGGCTAGGAAGTGCTTGCTCATGTTCCCTGGCCTCTCCCTGCTCCCAGGGCTTGCTTTGGTGTGAAGCAAAGTTGTGGCTGAGCCCGGGGAACTGTTGCGACCCAGACAGACATGTGCGTGATATAGGGCTGCTGACACACCAGCCTCCAGCCGCCTCAGCCCCCTCCAGACTCTGGGCACTAACGAGAACGTGAGGGAGGCTGCGGGGCTGAGGGTGGCTCGGCATGGGCCTGTGGGCACCCCTTAGCGTGGACAGCCTGGGCACCGCAGCCGGTATATTGATGGCGGTGGGAGGCTAAGAGGTTTCCGGGCGGGAAGAGCTGGGTCCCCAGTGAAACCCCACCTTCAAGCCAGGGATGACCCAAAGGCTAGGGGCCACGCTACCAGTTCCGGGTGGAGTCCGCTACCCGGATGGTGCTTTTTCCAGGCCCGCCCATGGCTGCCCATAGACCAATCAGCATTCACTTCCTCCATTCTGAGTCTAGTTTCAGTCAGACTCACTGGGACGACCTGCCTGCAGAAAGGAGCTACTCACTTTGGGTCTCCTGAGAGCTGTTCTTTCAGTAAAGCTCCCCTCCACCTTGCTCACCCTCCAGTTGTCCTCAGTATAACCTGATTTTTCCTGGATGGGGGACGAGAACTCAGGACCTGCCAAACAGCGGGAGCGAAAGGAGCTGTAACACGCTGGCCGGCTCACAGGGTTGCCGGTGGTCAAACGCTCCCTGACTGTGGGAGTGAAGAGTGGCGACCCTCCTTGGGGGCCCAGAACTCGGGATTCCCTGGGCCAGACCTGCTGTGACACTAATCCCCTCCATCTATGCCGGGTGGCCGCCCCACGTAACAGGAAGCAGCACCAGGGCCAGTTTCCATGAACCAGAGTAGGGCGGAGAGACTGAAAGCTGTCACACAAATGGACCGAATCACATCCCACCCCCGAAATTGCCCCCTCGCTTGTGCTGCAGAAGAACAGAAAGAGAGAAGAGCTGCAGCCTTTCTGGGAGCACAGACCTCAGGGCTCCCCGAACCAGGGCTGAGACACGCCTCTTTTGGGCTCTGCAATTTCTGGCATCTCTGAGCTTTTGGGCATTACCACGCTTATGACCCCAGTGGAAGCCTCTTGCAGTACACGGTGCCGGTACCTGCGCAGGCACCTGGAGCTGCCCATCCCGCTGCAGTAGCCGATGTGCCTGGATTTGTGGAACCAGATAATTTTCTGCCTCAGCCGCTTGCTCCCTCACACAGCCCTCGCTGCCCCACTCCTAGCTGGCCCTTGGCAGGCGTGGGATCTGGGCTGGTAGCCCAAGCTGAGTACAGCCTGCTGGGCTGAGTGGGCAGAACAAGATCAACAGGTAAGAGCAATACTCAAGCAGAAGGCACCGCTAACCACAGAGGTTTCTGGCTGGCGTAGCGACACCCAAGGATCCTGTGACACTTTTTAAAAACTGGAACACGAAAAGAATACAAAATCGGCTCATAAGCAAACATATAACTACATATGACAATTATATAAATACTAATCCAACCACTTTTTATTTTATTTATTTATTTATTTATTTATTTATTTATGTATTTATTTATTTTTGAGACAAGAGTCTCACTCTGTTGCCTAGGCTGGAGTGCAGTGGCGCGATCTCGCCTCACTGCAACCTCCAACCTCTGCCTCCGGGTTCAAGCGATTCTCCTGCTTTAGCCTTTCTAGGAGCTGGGATTACAGGCACCCACCACCATGCCCGGCTGATTTTTGTATTTTTAGTAGAGATGGGGTTTCACTCTGTTGGCCAGGCTGTCGAACTCCTGCCCTTAAGTGATCCACCTGCCTCGGCCTCCCAAAGTGCTGTGATTACAGGCGTGAGCCACAGCACCTGGCAAACCACTTTTTAATTTTACGTTTATATTCTTACTCTTTTTTTTTTCTTCTCTTGGAACTGTCTTATGCTGTTTATTTACTTTGGGTTTCATTTCTCTCCTTTTTTTTCCCTAATCTACTTTCTAATATTTTACTAATGTTATGCTCCTTTTTGAGACTTTAAGAAAGTTGTGTAATTTTTGCTTTGTATCACAAATACATATACATATCTAATTAAATTAAAGCAGGGACTCAAACAGATATTTGTGCAGGATTTTCATTAGCAATATTATTCATAATAGCCAAAGGGAGGAAGCAACCCCAGTGAATATTTATGGATAAGTGAATAAACAAAATGTAGTGTACACTACAACATATTATTCAGCCTTAAAAAATAAATTCTGACAAATTCTACAAGATAGATGAAACTTAAGGACATTATGGTAAGTGAAAGAAACCATTCACAAAAATAAAATATTGTGTGATGCCAATTATAGGAGTTACTTGGAGATGTCAAATTAGTAGAGACAGAAAGTAGAATGGTGATTGCCAGAGTCTGGAAGGAGGGGAGTTATGTTTAATGGGTACAGAGTTTTGGTTGGAAAAGAAGAGAAGTTCTGGAGATGTATGGTGATGATGGTTCCAAAACAGTGCAAATATACTTAATGCCACAGAGCCATGCACTTATGATGATTAAAAAGATACATTTTATGTTCTGTATGTCTTTCCAGAATAAAAACACCCTGCAATTAAAGCATAGGAATGTAGTATATTATGTAGAGTTTCATAATGATATTTTAAAAGTTTGCATATAATTAGAATTTCGGCCGGGTGTGGTGGCTCATGCCTGTAATCCCAGCACTTTGGGAGGCTGAGGCGGGCAGATCACAAGGTCAGGAGATTGAGGCCCTCCTGGCCAACATGGTGAAACCCTGTCTTTACTAAAAATACAAAAATTAGCTGGGCATGGTGGCACGTGCCTATAATCCCAGCTACTTGGGAGGCTAAGGCAGGAGAATCGCTTGAACCAGGGAGTCGGAGGTTGCCCTTAGCAGAGATCGCACCACTGCACTGCAGCCTGGCAACAGAGCGAGACTCTGTCTCAAAAAAAAAAAAAAAGAAAAAAAAAAAAGAATTTCAAGAGCCTTAATTTCAGATAAGGTTATCTAGAACATACCAATACATATGTAAGAAAACCATAAAACATCTCTTTTTTCAATCAGATTTACTAGGAAAATTTTATCAAACCAGTCAATTTTGTTCAATAATATTACTGTATTCTTATTTCCAATAATCAAATTGTGGAAAAGCATCATATAGACTAAAATTACATTATCATACTGACTGCATAAAATAATTTTGAAAACAGTAGAAGTTATAAGTAGCCCCTATAAGTAAAACATGAGTACACAGAACAAAAAATTAATAGGATGCAATTCCAATAACACTGACCTGATTTCTTCATCTGGTAGTTGTTTTTTTATATATATAATGGAAATTTAGTGTTTTGAATAATTCATCTAAGTTTTTGTTTGTATTTATAATTAATGAGATGCTATACAAACTTGAGTCAATGACACAGAATTCTACAAGATCAAGAAGTATCTTCTAGGGCCCTTTCTTTTCAAATTCTTTTTAAACTACCTAAGAGGCAGCTGATGCTCCATAAATTATATCATCTCCCTTACATAATTTTTTTCCAAAAAATGTGTTCAGCATGAAATATTAGCTACAGAGTAAGCTAAATAAATTAAACATGAAATATAGTTTTGCCCTTAAAAATAATTTGCAATAAGATCTTGGTATTTGTTTTTCTGAAGTGAAGCATTCTTATAAAGTGTAATAACCTTGTGGGAGAAAACCTGCGGGGAAAATGGAGAAACACTGAAGTTTTAATTATCTTTCTTGAGGTTACAACCTTTATAATCTCTCTTAATAATCTTTGTTTGTGACAAAGCTCCTGCAGCTCCCTCAAAAGTGAGTGGCTGAGATTCCTGATGGCATAGTAGAACATTTCATTCAATCCCCTTTCTTTTCCAGTGCCTGTATTTCAGTATACAATTTCTATAAACCTTAGTTAGCTATTTCAACCCGAAATCACAATGACAATATATTCTATCTCAAGTTAGGCAGTTCCTCTGAGTGTTTTTTTTTTTAATTCTCAAGACTGTACCTATGGGATTCTAAAGAATCTACAAAAATAAAAATGTTTTAAAAAGGAGTGAGAGAGAGAGAAGAAACTGTATAGTTCATTCTATTATTGTTACTAAAACTCAGCATTATTCTCTGTTAATCTAATTTAAATTGGTGAGATCATTTAATATTTATATCTTCAACAAAAATTTGAAATCACGAACAAGAAATTTAATTTGCTAATAAATGTTTGAGTTGAATTCAAATCCTTATATGTTACCTTAAATAAAGAGTACAAGTTGAATTATGATACAGAAAACTTTATCCCTCATTATCCAATAATCAGAGCTATATTAAACTTGAAATAAAATGGTTACAATTATGAAAATTCTTGATAAGTTATACCCAAAATTTTGCTTTAATGAAATAGATTTAACTAAGTAATAGCATTATCTGCTTAAATGTGTTCAGTCTAGCAACTCAAAGGCCTCCTAATATTTACAATAGCTTGATAGTGACATTTGGTAAGCATTGATTTTCCTATCACTGTGTGTACAGCATACTCTGAATTTCAGAATTCCAATTTTCCCTCTGCTATTTGGGCACATTGATTAACATCTTTGTGACTCAATATGTTCACTCTTAAAATTGTAACAATGGTAGTACCTAGGTATTCAGTTTTTGTGATGTGATGTGTATTAAATGCATCATAGTTTCTGCCAGGTAGTAATTTCTCAATAAATATTTGCTAATGCTTTATTGCAAACAGAAAAATGGGTTGTAATAATGTTGATGCTATTGATTCTCCTCATATAGGACATTTAATTGTTTCTAAAAGAACTTGCATTTAAGTTAGGGCACTATTTTGTGTTCAGACTGAAAATACTATATAGTCATATTTAAGAAAAACAAGTCTTACATGAATGTCTTAATAAAAGAATTCATAAATGAACTTAAGGAAGAACAGGGAAGATGGAATAATGCTTTGTGGCATAGAAGGCATTTGTTGGAAATCTTTCAGCTCAACTAAGACTTGAAACAAAATTGAAAATATTTACAAAAAATTTAAATGCAATATTGACCCTGATGAGTTTCTGAGGAAAATACAGTCCAACATTATTCAAAAGAGACTAATCAAAGTAGTTCTTAAGAAAATGTTTTGAAAAGAGATTATAAAACGAAGATCAGGTATGTAATTATTTTAATAATCTAGTCATGAGATAAAAAGCATTGAGTATTTTTGTTTGGTTACTTTCTTTTGTCACAGAAAAATGACAGTTTCAAGAGTCATTCTTTGTTAAGCATAGAGAGCATTTTACATTTTGAACCAGTGTCATATGGTGCTGAGAAGGTTAATATGCCAATTTGTGTCTAAGTCGACAATTTTGATCTCAATCAAAATACTTTATTCACATAACTGATGAGTGTCTGCACTTGATTTAGTGCTGAAATGTCAAACTAGGACTTATGAAAAAAGTAACTTAATATTAGAGTTGCAAGAGGCTTAAATTGAAAATAATGATTCAATTCAACTCATCACTACTGAGATAAGGAAACTGAAAACAAAATATATGCAACTACATGAACATTGGCTTCTCTCCTAAGAATCAAAACCCTTAAATGGCCGAGACAGAAAATTATCTGGTTCCACAAATGCAGGCAAAATTTTACTGTTTCTGGGAGATCATTAGGTGCAAAACACATCAGCCTTTAGAGTAGCTTAATAAACCTCTCATGCCCCATTCCATCCCCATCTGGGACCAGCGAAAGGATTACTGCTTCTTGGGAAGGTGTGGAGCAAAACTACTTCTGCACCAGGGGAGGGACAAGGATTGTTTTGGGGCCCCAGATTTTGCACTAAAGCAGAAATGTGCACCTATGGTCAAGAGTGGGAAAACCAAAGGTGCATTGATCCTATGCAAGAAGAAACAAAATATTGTGTCCCTGTTGTGGTGTAAGAGACATGCAATAATATAAAGCAAAGGTTTTCTACCACTGAGGTGGGAGGAGGGCAAGGTAGTATTTCTTCTCAAAAAAAACTAATACAGATAAGTGACAGTTTGACTCCTACTAGAGTGAGAGTTAGGAAGTGCTGAGAATAACCTATCTCTGAGTGTCTGATTTTCAGGCTGGCTCAAAAATAACCTGAATCATCCCTCTGCTCACAATATAAATTTTGTACCTAGTCAAAAGAAATATTGTTCTATAGTTAAAGAGGAACAAGAAAGTGGAGGGAGACCATTTCTATTACACAGGTGTGTAGGGATTGCTAAAACTAATAGTGGAACAGGAGCATTGGCATATGCCCTTCAGAGCCTCAGGCCCCAGACTGGATACAGGATAGTAGCAGCCCCACTGATGGAGGAATTTGAATTATATGGTTCACTGAATGTTCTGACAACAGTGACAAAACCCAACCCAGGTCAACTTTGAAAATATTGACTTAACTCTTGCTCCTGCCCAGACTAATATCATGAAAAAACAAAAGTATAAAATAAGCAGAGCATAAATAATGATCTCATGATTTACTACTTTTCTACCCCTGATGATTTGCATTACTTTATAAATTGGGAGGCACATAAAAGCAGGCAAAAACAAAACAAAAGGAATGTTGTCAAAATGTAGTGAAATCAACAGAATCAAACTTAGAGAGAATATAGATGTTGGAACACACATGCAAGTAATTTAAAATAATAATGATCAAAATTTTAAAGGATTTAGTAAAAAAAAAGACACCCTGTATGAACAGATGAGGAATTTCATCAGAGATGGGAAAAATGAAAGACAAATGCTAGAAACAAATGAAAATATGAGAACAGGAATGAAGAATCACATGGGAAAGCTGATTAGTGAACTGGTCAGAGCTAAAGAAAGAGGCACTACGTTTTATAGTAGGTCCAATATAAATTATTTAAAAGGAAGCACAGGGGAAAAACAAACAAACAAAGAAAAACAAAACCAAACAAACAAACAAAAATTCAAGAGAGTCCACGAATTCTGTGATAGCGTAAAATGGATTAAAATACAATTAATTGAAATCCATGAAGGAAATTACAAAGAGAATTGGAGAGAAGAAATATTTGAAAAGATAACTAAAGAAATCAGATAACCTCAAAGAGCTCCAAGAAAAATTAGTACAAAATTTAAGCACACCTAGAATAATCGTACAAGTCAAACTGCTGAAAACCATAGAATTAAAAAAAAATATTGAATTTCGTCACAGAAAAATAGGAATGTTATCTAAAGAAGAACAAAAATAAATATTACAGTGAACTGTTTGTCAGAATTTCTATAGGCCAGAAGCCATTGATATGAAATCTTAAAAGAATTGAAAAAAAGTCAACCCATCATCGTATACCCATTAAATATATAACTAATAACATTTAAATGAGAACTTTTTTTAAAAAATAAGCAGTGGAAGCATCCATTGCTGACAGGATTGCACTAATCTAAATGTAAAAGGGGTTTTTTAAGACAGAAGGAATACGGATCCAGATGGAAATTGAAACTATGCAAAGAAATGAAGAAGGTAGGAAAAGATAAAAATAAGAATGCAAAGCTCAATTATTTTCCATTGTTCTAAAGATAATTGATTGTCTAAATAAAAAAAAAAGTAACTTTATACTATAGAACCGTGGTCCCCAAACTTGGCAGCAGGGACTGGTTTCATGGAAGACAATTTTTCCACACACAGAGGGTGGGTGGAGGGTTTCAGGATGAAACTTTTCCACATCAGATCAGGCATTATATTCTCATAAGGAATGTGCAACCTAGATCCCTCATATGCACATTCATAATAGAGTTTGCACTCCTATGCAAATCTTATGCCATGGATATCTGACAGGAGGCACAGCTCAAGGGGTAATGTTCACTCACATGCAGCTCACATCCTGCTGTGTGTCCAGGTTCCTAACAGGCCAGGAACCTATACTGGTCTGTAGCCTGGGGATTGGCGACCCTGCTGTGCAGATCATAATATTTGAGAGTATAATGCATGACATAAGTAGTACAGAATAAGGAAAGAAGGAAGAGAAATACATACATTTAAGGCTTTTACACTCTATTTTTGTTGATATGAATGGTAGATTATCATAATTAGTTAAACTACATATTGAAATCCCTAGAGCAACAACAAACATTTATAAAAGGTGGTTTATCCATTGTTTTTATAGAACTTCCAGTTTTTTATTTTTAAAGTAGTATTTGTGCTGTTATATATGAAGTAAGGTTAATCTTAAATATCCATGTTTTGAGAATTAGCAACAATGACAAACTAATTCAATATAAATAGTTTTATTATTATATATTAATATTTTAATATTAGTTATTAAAATAAGCATTTAAAAATTCCATCCCAACATTAGGACAATATATTACAAATAATATTTTAAAATTGGTATGTACTGCATTAAAGTTTTCTGTTATTCTATGAAGTTATTTCAATTAATTTTAGGATTGCACATAACATAGATATGGAATTGCATAAAGGTCACATAAAAAAGTTGCCAATTATCTTATATTTGTGTTTTTGTTTATTTCATAATGTTAAATAATATTTTTAACGAAGGCAGGAATTTCAAAATCATCAATATATACAATAATTTTCTGGATTTCTTTGTCTTTATTATTCTAACTCTGTTTTTTTTTTGCTACTATATTTTATTTTTATTTCACATTCACACTAAGTTTCTTTGCTTCTCAGCTTCCTGGTACATTAACTTTCCCAGATTTTTTATCATGTAGCGTCTTTCAGTTTTTTCACCTGTTAAAGATTTCTTTCCTAAATTCTTATTCTTTCACAAGATGGGTACACTAGATTAAGTGAAATTTGTATACTATAAACCTTAAAGCAAAATAAATCACTAAAATAAAAAAAAATCAAGTTATAGTTAATAAGCCAACAAAGGTGATGAAATAGAATTACAAGAAAATAATTAATAAAAAAATCACAACAAAATATGGGAACAGATAACTTATGGGAAATATAGAAAACTAAAAAGTGAGCAAGTAGAATTAAACCTAATCCTATTTCAATTAAACAACAGAGATTATCAGACTAGATGAAGAAAGAAAGAACTAACTATGTGCTGACTACAAGAGAGTGGCTTATATTAGGAAACCAAAATTAGATTAAATGCAAAATTGTGGAAAATATACCATTTTAATACTAGTCTAAGGAGGACTATAGTAGCTATGTTAATATCTTACAAAGTGCATTTTAGACTAAGGATTATTACTAGAATAGAGAAGGCTACTTTATAATAATTAAGGGATCAATTTAGTAAGCAGACAAAACATTTGTAAGCATGTATTTACCTAATAACAGCTCATTAAAATGTATGTAGCAAAATAAATGTTATTTTTGACAAATATTTCAGGAAAAATATAATATTACAAAAATGGACTTCAACTTAGTCATTGTATCATAAACACAAAATGACTACAAGTAGATCAGACATCTGAATATAAAAATCTTAAACTTTAAAACTTATTTTAAGAACACAGAGACTACAATCTTTGTGAACTTTGGGTTAAGCAACAATTTCTTAGATTTGACATCAATAGCACAATCTATAAAATACAAATTGATAAATTGTTGTTCATGTGTATTAATAGATTTTGCTCTTTGAAAGACAATGTTAAAAGAAGAAGTCAAGATGCAGACTGGAGAAATATTTGCAAATCATATATTTGATAAACTGCAAAAACTTATCCACCACAATCAAGTTAGCTTCATGCCTGGGGTGTAAGGCTGGTTCAACATACACAAATCAATAAGCATGATTTATCACATAAACAGAACTAAGGAAAAAAAAAACACATGATTATCTCAATAGACGCAGAAAAGGCCTTGTATAAAATTCAACCTACCTTCATTTTAAAAACTCTCAATAAACTAGGTATTGATGGAACATATGTCAAAATAATAAGAGCCATTTATGACAAACCCATGGCCGACATACTCAACGGGCAAAAGCTGGAAGTATTCTCCTTGAAAAATGGCAAAAGAGAAGGATACTCTCTCTTATCACTCCTATTCAACATAACATTGGAAGTTCTGGCCAGGGCTATCAGACAAGAGAAAGAAATAAAGTCTATTCAAATAGAAAGAGAGGAAGTCAAACTGCCTCTTTGTGCAGATGACATCATCCTTTATCTAGAAAACCCCATTGTCTCAGCCCACAACCTTCTTAAGCAGATAAGCAACTTCAGCAAAGTTTCAGGATAAAAAATCAATGTGCAAAAAATCACAAGCATTTCTATACACCAACAATAGGCAAGCAGAGAGCTAAATCATGAATGAATTCCTATTCACAATTGCTGCAAAGAGAATAAAATACCTAGGAATGCTTCTAACAAGGGGAATGAAAAACCTCTTCTAGGAGAGCTACAAACCACTGCTCAAAGAAATAAGACAGGACACAAACAAATGAATAAACGTTCCATGCTCATAGATAGGAATAATCAATATCATGAAAATGGCCATACTGTCCAATGTAATTTATAAATTCAATGCTATTCCCATTACACTACCATTGTCATTCTTCACAGAATTAGAAAAAAACTATTTTAAAGTTCATATGGAGTCCAAAAAGAGCTTGTATACCCAAGACAATCCTAAAGGAAAATCACAAAGCTGGAGGTATCACACTACTCAACTTCAAACTATACCACAATGCTACAGTAACAAAACAGTATGGTACTGGTACAAAAGCAGAAACATAGACCAAATAAACAGAATAGAGATCTCAGAAATAAGACTGCACACCTACAACCATTTGATCTTTGACAAACATGAAAAAAACAAGCAACGGGGAAATGATTCCCTAATTAATAAATGGTGCTAGGACAAGTGGCTAGCCATATGCAGAAAATTGAAATTGGACCACTTCCTTATACCTTATAAATGATTAACTCAAAATGGATTAAAAACTTAAATGTAAAACCCAAAACTATAAAAAACCCTAGAAGAAAACTAGGCAATACCACCAAGGACATAGGCATGGACAAAGATTTCATGATGAAAACGTCAAAAGCAATTGCAACAAAAGCAAAAAAATTGACATATGGGATCTAATTAAACTAAAGAGCTTCCACACAGCAAAAGAAACTATCATCAGAGTGAACAAACAACCTACAGAATGGGAGAAAATTTTTGCAATCTATCCATCTAACAAAGGTATAATATCCAGAATCTACAAAGAACTTAAACAAATTTACAAGAAAAAAACCATTAAAAAGTGGGCAAAGGACAAGAACAGACACTTCTCAATAGAAGACATTTACGTGGCCAAGAAGCATATGAAAAAAAGCTCAACATCACTGATCATTACAGAAATGCAAGTCAAAACCACAGTGATATACCATCTCATGCCAGTCAAAATGGAGATTATTAAAAAGTTAAGAATCAACAGGTGCTGGCAAGGCTGTGGAGAAATACAAATACTTTTCCACTGTTGGTCAGAATGTAAATTAATTCATCCATTGTGGAAGACAGTGTGGTGATTCCTCAAAGAATTAGAACCAGAAATAACATTTGACCCAGAAATCCCATTACTGGGTATATACACAAAGGAATATAAATCATTCCATTACAAAGATACGTGCATGTGTATGTTCCTTGCAGCACTATTCACAATAGCAAAGACATTGAACCAACCCAAATGCCCATCAATTATAGGCTGGATAAAGAAAATGTGGTACATATACACCATGGAATACTACGCAGACATAAAAAGAATGAGATCATGTCCTTTGCAGGAACATGGATAAAGCTGAAAGTCATTATCCCCAGCAAACTAACACAGAAACAGAAAACAAAACACCCCATGTTTTCACTTATAAGTGGGAGCTTAATAATGAGAACATATGGACACAGGGAGGGGGACAACACAAACTGGAGTCTCTTGGGAGTGGGGTCAGGGGTGGGAGAACATCAAGATAAATAGCTAATGCATGCTGGGCTTAATACCTAGGTGATGGGTTGATAGGTGCAGAAAACCACCATGGCAAATGTATACCTATGTAACAAACCTGCATGTCCTGCACATGTATCCCAGAACTTATAAAATAAATAAATAAAATATATATATTAAATTCTCAAAACACAATCATAAAATAAATAAATTCAATAAAAGAGGGACATATAGAAAAAGCAAAGGTTCATGATGAAATGCCAATATAATTAGTCAGAGAAAGGCAAATTAAAACCACAGTGAGATATCACCTCACCTATTCCAAAAGCCAAAATTTACAAGACTGACCAGACGAAGTGTCCGTAAGGATATGGAGAAAGAAGGACCTTTAGATATTGCTGATGTGAATATAAATGCAGCAAAAGCAGGACTGATTGGAAAAGGGGGAGAACAATTACCTCAAGAAAGATGTAAATGTTATTAGTAAAATAAGGGAGAAAATGTTAAGTAGGCAGGAAAACAAATAAATATAATTAAAAAACACCTTCACTACTGGTGTCACATTGGCCTACATATTTACGTATTCTTATAATTTGATTTAGTTCTAGGAAAAAAAAATAAAGATATGTGAAAATGAATCTTGAAATAGTTAACAGGTTGATGCCAGGAAGCTAATCTGCAATGTGCTGTGAAGTTCTCACACACCCAAAGAAACATTCTGTTGAAAACATTACAGGTCAGGTGTACCATTCATCCTCCTCAACATCTGTTCTCTGACTGTCGGTTGTTGGGGGAAAAAAAAACAGTGTTCTCCAAGTTCACAGAATTCTAAAATAAAAGAAAAAATGCCTAAAAAATGAATTAGGAAAGAGAATACTTTTTAATAACATGCAATAATAAGTAGGATCATATGAAGCCATTTTCACCCTCTTCATTGCCATTCACAAAGTAATATTAATTAGGTAAAGAAAATAAAATTTAGATTAAAATTAAAATTACATATTTATAAGTATATTAACATTCAAGAAGATGTTTAATGCAAACTCTTTAATAAATATTAGTTTCTTAGATAGCTAATGGTTTCCTAAAAATAGAGGTGGAAGTTTTAGCATGATACACAGCTGTCAATGAGATTGGTTTGTCAATAAATTGCAAAAGTAAGAAAACTGCAAAATGGAAATGAAAGTCAGAAAAGAGGCCTAGTGAATTTTATTTTGTATTACATTTACTTTTTTTCTGTTCAGAGAAGACATAATATGCCAATAATTATTTTAGCCCCACAATTTATTTCTATTTTCTTTCCCCAAGATTATTTTTTAGAACCTTTGGCTAGCTTTAACAGGCAATTGAAGATACTTATGATTGAATGGTTTAAAGCTTAGGAGATAAAATATAATTGTAAATAATCTTTTAATATCATTCCTACATACAGATTCAACTATTACATGCCACTCAGACTTGGAAAATTTGAGAAATGGTGGTTTTAGTTAAACATTCAGAAATATTTTTCCTTATTGTTATTAATTTATGACCACTCACGCCTTCTGCCAGAATTGATTTCTGAGATTTATCCCATAATCATAGTACCTTAGAATATCCCATGTTAGCCATGCTCCCAACAAAGCCTAAAGGGACACTACAACATAAATTTATAAATATAAATATGCATTCTCTTCAAAAGATTACAAGAACAGAAATCTCATGAAGCATTGGAGATGAATGTATCTGATATTCAGAGTTCAAATTTTCAGGATTGGATTAATCCACAAAACAATGTGGTATTTTTTACATATAATAGTTAGACTTTTTCTAAATTTTCTATATTTCTGCAACTCATACTCAATCATCAGTATATTCAAATCTCTCTTTCTCCTCCACAAATCAAGTGAAATTATTGTCACAAAATCACCATTGTCAATGAAGACAATATTCGTATTCAATCAAATTCTCAAGAATCTTTGAAACTTTCTCATCTCTTGGCTTCTGTCTGTTCTCTGCTGGTTTTCCACTTTCAGTCTCGTATATCAGCTTATCTTCATATTCCCAGCCTCCAATGTTGGTATTCCTGAAAACTTTGTCCCAACGTGCTCAGCTCTGTGTGCTCACTGTACTTTTATCTGAACAACCGTGTACACTCTCAACTCCATGATTTGCTCTCCTGAGCACTAAATCTTATTTTGTAACTGAGAGCTTATACTTAGGTATATCAAATGTACTGCAAATACTTATTACCTAAAATGGGAAGCATTATTTTCTACCCAAAGACAACACTTTCTTATGATTAACTCAATAAATAGAATTATTGTTTAATAGTTTTACCATATGTGTGTATGTGGGGTATGTATATAATACAATATAGATATCATGTATATACTGAGTGGTGACCACATGGGATTGAGAAATATGTCTACTTGTGGATGTCACAACTTATTTGGGAGTTCTATCACAATTCCTATGTATGCTAATTCCCAGGGAAAAAAGTACACAAACTTTTCCCAAAAATTCTGATGCTATTAAGGCAATTATTTATCTGCTTTTATTTTTCTTTTTCCCTAATACCCTGGAGAAATATTTTATTCTTAAATTGTAGTGAAGGAGATTAGGGCAAATGACATAATAATTATTATCCTTAATATAGCAGTTTTACATCTAGAAAATTATTTTGTAAACTAAATTCTAATACTTGATGATTTTTTTTTCTGATTCTACTGAGATTACTGACTTATGTGGCAAAGGATGTCTTATGTCAAGTGGCCCAAGAGGGAAGATATCATTGGATAAATAAATACAGATAGAGAAAAATGTGTATATTGGTTATTACTTTATATTACCATCAGATTACATTGATTATTATGACACTCTGTGTTAATTCTTTTTCCATCAAGCTAGGATACACTTTTGTTTTAAAAATCGTCATTCATTACTTTCCTACTGTGAAAAAATCCTACTAGGCTTTTTGTTACTTCTCTTATTTTTAGCACTATATTTTTAACTCAGTCTAAGTCTTTCATACTACAGCTAAGACTCATTTTGCTAAAGAACAGGAATAAATATATCTAGATAATTTAATTTTAAATTTGATGCCATCTAAATTCTTTTTTGAAATTACTAATTTTTCCTTTTTCACAAGTAATGATTATTTATTAAATTAGTCTTTAGGCTAATATTAAAAATAAGCATTTAAAAATTAGAGGAAATTTTGTTAAAATATTTGTTGATGTTAAAGTGCATGACCCTCCTCCAATAAACATAACAGATTTCTTCTGCTTAACTAGTGTTTGAGTTCTTTATTGTTTTCAGGAAACAATGATATATTCTTTCTTTTTTGATATTTAATACATATAAATGTAATGAGTCTATACCAAAAATTTCATTTTGATTCTTTTTTTTTTTTCAGATAAGCAACAACATTAAAAAAGAATTCTGAGCATCATAACATCCCAGAACATTCATGCAGGGTAAGTAACATTTCCTTTCAATTGTAGTGTTGTTGGCATTCTCTAAAATCTGTTTCTCTTCTGTGTCTCAGTGAGAATTTATTTCAGGCTTAATACCTGAATTTATTCAGTGTATTCTCAGGCTTTCTACATTATAAGTAAAGTGCTACTGTGGAGACACTCCTGGGATTTTTAAAGGAAAAAGCCTTTGGATAATGTGAAAATAACAAAGATCTTTCTTTGTAAGTTTGAGAATGACTGTCATGCTCCATTACATCTCCTAGAATGTTCAAAAACTTGAGGGTCCTCCCAGTTTCTTATTCTCAGATGCCATTTCTCAAAGTGATAGTGAACTATTTCCTACTTTTAACTGGGTTTTCTCTGAAATACGTGGTTAGTGTGAAGTACAGAAACTCAATATGTTCTGGTATAAATGTAATTGCCATATGTGCATTTTAAGTCAGTGGATAATAAATATGAGAAGAGCTGCTAAAAAAAATTATTTCCAAAGTCCTACTAGAACTCTCTCAGGGCCACTAAACTAAGGTTGAAAAGTGATCATTCAGCATGCTCACCAATATTGGGGCAGCTACCTTTTCTCCCTGAAGAGCAGCTAAGCTTTTCTCCTTTAGCACCTTCAAGTTGCCTCTATTGCCTTCTACTATCAGGCCTCTTGCTGAACTATTTTTAAATTCAAAATACATCCTTTCTCAGTTGCTAAAGCCCTGGAGAACATTGCCACAACAAGAACACATTTTTTACGTGCATTAAGAATAAAGGAGCTTGTCATCTAAACAGTGTGAACTAGGACCAAAATACCTTAGGTTCCTGTGGCAAATAAGTGCGTACCCACAGCTGGTTTTTTGTCACTGAGCTCATAAATACTGAGACATTCAGAGACTAGAAAATTTAATCTAGTAGGCAAATAGATTTTTCAAGGTTTGTTTTAATTATGGGATCCCACCTATTAGTTGTCAAACATATTAAATATATACCCATTTATCTAGACCTTAAGTTTTAATTTTATATACACACATTCCTTGTCTCTCAGGAACATGAAGAAAAGAGACTAACTTCACCTATTTTCCTAATTTAAAGAATTATATAAAGCTAAAGTGCTTTTTATTAAAAGTAGCAGGTCTTCTATTTATACATGCATCTGAATACAAAACTCAAGCCTAATATGCATAATTGCAGTTTACTTACAATTTTTTATTAAATCAATATTACTTCTACTGTGAGAATTGCGAATATATATTTAGCTCCTTTCTTTGCTGTTTTCTGATTATATGAAGACTTATTTTACATCATTATTCATGTTTGTGTTTAACATATTAATACAAAATGCTTAACATATTTACATTTAATACATTAATATCAAACGTATTTAACGTACTATTCTCTTAAAGTGTTGGGAAATTTTTTAGTCTCAAGAAGAATGAGTTCATGCTTTTAAGTTTTTCAGAATTTGTCAGAATACACATAGCCACATCTGTGGGACTGCTGTTGACAATGGCCATAGGTCAAGGAAAACAGACTTTTCTGACTTGCTGCCCTCAGTAGATTTTGTTTTCATATTTTAAAAGGATGAAAAGGGGGATCTTAGGCAATTTGCCCAATGTGGATACTGACAAGGGTGGTGAAGGATATGAAAAAGATGACCCAGAAGGAAAACATGAGGTATTTCTGAACATCTTAAATGTGTGTAGCCTTTTGGAAAAGTGAGACCAGATCGAAAGCACACTGAAATAATTTTGGCAACTTGCACTGACACATAACTCAGTCAATCTGAATTAAACTATGGGTCACAGGGGAAATGTTACTCTAAGAAGCACATATTAAAATCACTCAGCTGCAGTGAAATAGACTCCCTGACAACATGGAGTATCAATTATCCAACATATAAAGTCAGTGATACAAATTGGACTACAATATATAAGGCTGATAAAGTCTTCTTTAAAGGACTGACAGCTGACTTGGCTCATATGTAAACAATGTTTCTCAGCAGTTAACTGCACTGGCTGTAACTTGATAGTATCTATTGCTTGAACAAATTATGTACTATGTAATTAAATAAATAGAATTTATCAAGAATGAATGGCTTATTTTAATATTTTGGCATGTAGACTTTGAAAAAAGTTGGTAAAATTTTAAAGGCTACTTTTAAGAAACAGCAGTATAATATGTTTAATAATGAAAAACAATAATGTAGTTGAAAATAATTCAGTTTTCTATTGCAGCTAATTTCAAAGGCATAGAAATATTATCTCAATTAATAGAAGAAATAGCAACAATTCTATCATTTTTATGCAAATTTCTCTTAGTCCATCTATTTAGTTTTAGATAGTATTTTTAAAATTTCATTTTTGAGCAGGGCTAATCATAAAGAGTAGATTCTATCTATATTTCACAATAGTTGACGTTAATAAGAAAAAAAAGCCATCATTTTTTATACTGCAAGCATTTTCCATTATTTTTTATTAGTGTAATTTCTAGTTTTATGGTGCTTCCCTCTTTTAAAAAGTCATGATTAACTCAAGGTGTCCAGTTAGTATAAGATCAGGGTTAATGGTAGTTAATATGCCAAAATGGTAATATTCTGTATTATTGCCAATAGCATAATTTATTATTTGAATCAGAGACCATAGTATTCTGAATGCATGAGCATATTTTTAACATTTCAATGCATTCTTTTTTCTTTTTTTAAAAAAATTATTATTATACTTTAAGTTTTAGGGTACATGTGCACAATGTGCAGGTTAGTTACATATGTATACATGTGCCATGCTGGTGTGCTGCACCCATTAACTCGTCACTTAGCATTAGGTATATCTCCTAATGCTATCACTCCCCACACTCCCACCCCACAACAGTCCCCAGAGTGTGATGTTCCCCTTCCTGTGTCCATGTGTTCTCATTGTTCAATTCCCACCTATGAGTGAGAACATGCAGTGTTTGGTTTTTTGTCCTTGTGATAGTTTACTGAGAATGATGATTTCCAATTTCATCCACGTCCCTACAAAGGACATGAACTCATCATTTTTTATGGCAGCATAGTATTCCATGGTGTATATGTGCCACATTTTCTTAATCCAGTCTATCATTGTTGGACATTTGGGTTGGTTCCAAGTCTTTGCTATTGTGAATAGTGCTGCAATAAACATACGTGTGCATGTGTCTTTATAGCAGCATGTTTTATAGTCCTTTGGGTATATACCCAGTAATGGGATGGTTGGGTCAAAAGGCATTTCTAGTTCTAGATCCTTGAGGAATCGCCACACTGACTTCCACAATGGTGGAACTAGTTTACAGTCCCACCAACAGTGTAAAAGTGTTCCTATTTCTCCACATCCTCTCCAGCACCTGTTGTTTCCTGACTTTTTAATGATCGCCGTTCTAACTGGTGTGAGATGGTATCTCATTGTGGTATTGATTTGCATTTCTCTGATGGCCAGTGATGGTGAGCATTTTTTCATGTGTTTTTTGGCTGCATAAATGTTTTCTTTTGAGAAGTGTCTGTTCATGTCCTTCGCCCACTTTTTGATGGGGTTGTTTGTTTTTTTCTTGTAAATTTGTTTGAGTTCATTGTAGATGCTGGATATTAGCCCTTTGTCAGATAAGTAGGTTATGAAAATTTTCTCCAATTTTGTAGGTTGCCTGTTCACTCTGATGGTAGTTTCTTTTGCTATTCAGAAGCTCTTTAGTTTAATTGGATCCTATTTGTCAATTTTGTCTTTTGTTGCCATTGCTTTTGGTGTTTTAGACATGAAGTCCTTGCCCATGCCTATGTCCTGAATGGTAATGCCTAGGTTTTCTTCTAGGGTTTTTATGGTTTTAGGTCTAACGTTTAAGTCTTTAATCCATCTTGAATTAATTTTTGTATAAGGTATAAGGAAGGGATCCAGTTTCAGCTTTCTACATATGGCTAGCCAGTTTTCCCAGCACCATTTATTAAATAGGGAATCCTTTCCCCATTGCTTGTTTTTCTCAGGTTTGTCAAAGATTAGATAGTTGTAGATATGCGGCATTATTTCTGAGGGCTCTGTTCTTTTCCATTGATCTACATCTCTGTTTTGGTGTACCTGAAAGTGACGGGGAGAATGGAAGCAAGTTGGAAAACACTCTGCAGGATAGTATCCAGGAGAACTTCCCCAGTCTAGCAAGGCAGGCCAACATTCAGATTCAGGAAATACAGAGAACGCCACAAAGATACTCCTCGAGAAGAGCAACTCCAAGACACATAATTGTCAGATTCACCAAAGTTGAAATGAAGGAAAAAATGTTAAGGGCAGCCAGAGAGAAAGGTCGGGTTACCCACAAAGGGAAGCCCCTCAGACTAACAGTGGATCTCTCGGTAGAAACTCTACAAGCCAGAAGACAGTAGGGGCCAATATTCAACATTCTTAAAGAAAAGAATTTTCAACCCAGAATTTCATATCCAGCCAAACTAAGCTTCATAAGTGAAGGAGAAATAAAATACTTTACAGACAAGCAAATGCTGAGAGATTTTGGCACAACCAGGCCTGCCCTAAAAGAGCTCCTGAAGGAAGCACTAAACATGGAAAGAAACAACCGGTACCAGCCACTGCTAAATCATGCCAAATTGTAAAGACCATCGAGGCTAGGAATAAACTGCATCAACTAACGAGCAAAATAACCAGCTAACATCATAATGACAGGATCAAATTCACACATAACCATATTAATTTTAAATGTAAATGGACTAAATGCTCCAATTAAAAAACACAGACTGGCAAATTGGATAAAGAGTCAAGAACCATCAGTGTGCTGTATTCAGGAAACCCATCTCACGTGCAGAGACACACATAGGCTCAAAATAAAAGGATGGAGGAAGATCTACCAAGCAAATGGAAAACAAAAAAAGGCAGGGTTTGCAATTCTAGTCTCTGATAAAACAGACTTTAAACCAACAAAGATCAAAAGAGACAAAGAAGGCCATTACATAATGGTAAAGTGATCAATTCAACAAGAACAGCTAACTATCCTAAATATATATGCATCCAATACAGGAGCACCCAGATTCATAAAGCAAGTCCTGAGTGACCTACAAAGAGACTTAGACTCCCACACAATAATAATGGGAGAATTTAACACCCCACTGTCAACATTAGAGAGATCAACGAGACAGAAAGTTAACAAGGATACCCAGGAATTGAACTCAGCTCTGCACCAAGCAGACCTAATAGACACCTACAGAACTCTGCACCCCAAATCAACAGAATATACATTTTTTTCACCACCACACCACACCTATTCCAAAATTGACCACATAGTTGGAAGTAAATCTCTCCTCAGCAAATGTAAAAGAACAGAAATTATAACAAACTGTCTCTCAGACCACAGTGCAATCAAATTAGAACTCAGGATTAAGAAACTCACTCAAAACCGCTCAACTACATGGAAACTGAACAACCTGCTCCTGAATGACTACTGGGTACATAACGAAATGAAGGCAGCAATAAAGATGTTCTTTGAAACCAACGAGAACAAAGACATAACATACCAGAATCTCTGGGACACATTCAAAGCAGTGTGTAGAGGGAAATTTATAGCACTAAATGCCCACAAGAGAAAGCAGGAAAGATCTAAAACTGACACCCTAATATCACAATTAAAAGAACTAGAAAAGCAAGAGCAAACACATTCAAAAGCTAGCAGAAGGCAAGAAATAACTAAAATCAGAGCAGAACTGAAGGAAATAGAGACAGAAAAAACCCTTCAAAAAATTAATGAATCCAGGAGCTGGTTTTTTGAAAGGATCAACAAAATTGATAGACCGCTAGCAAGACTAATAAAGAAAAAAAGAGAGAAGAATCAAATAGACTCAATAAAACATGATAAAGGGGATATCACCACCAATCCCACAGAAATACAAACTACCATTAGAGAATACTACAAACACCTCTGCGCAAATAAACTAGAAAATCTAGAAGAAATGGATAAATTCCTCGACACATACCCCCTCCCAAGACTAAACCAGGAAGAAGTTGAATCTCTGAATAGACCAATAACAGGCTCTGAAATTGTGGCGATGATCAATAGCTTACCAACCAAAAAGATTCCAGGAGCAGATGGATTCACAGCCAAATTCTACCAGAGGTACAAGGAGGAACTGGTATCATTCCTTCTGAAACTATTCCAATCAATAGAAAAAGAGGGAATCCTCCCTAACTCATTTTATGAGGCCAGCGTCATCCTGATACCAAAGCCGGGCAGAGACACAACCAAAAAAGAGAATTTTAGACCAATATCCTTGATGAACATTGATGCAAAAATCCTCAATAAAATACTGGCAAACCAAATCCATCAGCACATCAAATAGCTTATCCACCATGATCAAGTGGGCTTCATCCCTGGGATGCAAGGCTGGTTCAACATACGCAAATCAATAAATGTAATCCAGCATATAAACAGAACCAAAGACAAAAACCACATGATTATCTCAATAGATGCAGAAAAGGCCTTTGTCAAAATTCAACAGCCCTTCATGCTAAAAACTCTCAATAAATTAGGTATTAATGGGACATATGTCAAAATAATAAGAGCTATCTATGACAAACCCACAGCCAATATCATACTGAATGGGCAAAAACTGGAAGCATTCCCTTTGAAAACTGGCACAAGACAGGGTTGCCCTCTTTCACCACTCCTATTCCACATAGTGTTGGAAGTTCTGGCCAGAGCAATCAGGCAGGAGAAGGAAATAAAGGGTATTCAGTTAGGAAAAGAGGAAGTCAAATTGTCCCTGTTTGCAGATGACATGATTGTATATCTAGACAACCCCATTGTCTCAGCCCAAAATCTCCTTAAGCTGATAAGCAACTTCAGCAAAGTCTGAGGATACAAAATCAATGTACAAGAATCACAAGCATTCTTATACACCAATAACAGACAAACAGAGAGCCAAATCATGAGTGAACTCCCATTCACAATTGCTTCGAAGAAAATAAAATACCTAGGAATGCAACTTACAAGGGACATGAAGGACCTCTTCAAGGAGAACTACAAACCACTGCTCAATGAAATAAAAGAGGATACAAAGAAATGGAAGAACATTCCATGCTCATGGGTAGGAAGAATGAATATCGTGAAAATGGCCATACTGCCCAAGGTAATTTATAGATTCAATGCCATCCCCATCAAGCTACCAATGACTTTCTTCACAGAATTGGAAAAAACTACTTTAAAGTTCATATGGAACCAAAAAAGAGCCTGCATCACCAAGTCAATCCTAAGCCAAAAGAACAAAGCTGGAGGCATCACACTACCTGACTTCAAACTATACTACAAGGCTACAGTAACCAACACAGCATCGTACTGGTATCAATGCATTCTTAATAATTAACTAGAGAGGAAACAAGAAATTATAGTGATAGTTACTGTTTACCTGAAGATATTTGAACATAAAAGAACATTAGGAAGAGAAATGTATGTTAACACTGTCTATGATGACATAGAAGAATAAAAGTAGGGGAGTAAATAGGAGAATTTTTAAAAAACTTTCTGGTCATGTAAGTCAATTTGTATCAGTCATTTCTTAAAGCTTTACTGAAATGCAATAAATGGCCCCTACCTCAATTGTACATTTTGGTATTTTTTGGCATTTGTATATACCTAGGAAACCATCAACACATTAAAACAATGTACATATCCATAAAGTTTCCTCATTTTTTTTTCCATTCACTTCCTTCTGCCTATCCCTGTCCCATTCTCAGGCAACCACTGATATACTTTCAGTAACTATCCATGAGTTTACATTTCCATATAAACGGAAGCATAGAGTGTTATGCTTTTTTGATGACTCAGCATAATTATTTTGAGATTTATTCATGGCAAGACATGTATCTTATTCTTACCATTGAGTATTATTTCATTATAGACATATATCACAAAATGTTTATCAATAGTAAATTCACTTGTCAATGAACATTTAGACTATTTTCAGTTTTTGACTATTGCAAATAAAGCCGCTATGAACATTAATGTACCATCCTTTAAATGGGCATAGGCTTTTATGTTTTCATTTCTATTAGAAGTAGAATAGATAGATACATGTTTAGCATTGTGTAATATGAAAGAAACAAACTTGACAAAACTTTTCGAAAGTGGAAACTCCGCCAAGTGTCAAAGAAATTGGCTTTGTCAATCTTAAAAGTTGTTGAAAATACCTTACACGTGTCTTTATATAACATATCTTTTAAAAACACACTTTTATGTACTACCCCCACAGATGTTCCAGTGTTTATTTCTGAAAGCTTGATGTAATTGACTAAACCATTTAAGGCTAGACCTCTGAAATAAAAGGCACTAACACTTTGCAATTTTAGGGAAATAATTTCATTTTTTCAAATAGAATCATGCAAAATCTTTATCTGATCATGACAAAATATCCCCTACTTGCTGTTAATAATCCACAGCTTTTATAAAATTAGCAAAAACAGTTCATTTAATAATATAACCTGATGGCCAAAATTATCTGCCTTACTTAAGTTAACTTAATGTCTATTAAATGTAAGTTTCTTCTGAAAAAACAGACACACTTCTCTCAGAAAATTTTTAAAGATCAAACACATCTTTTTTATTTTTTTAATTTTGTAACAATTATATATATATTTGTATATATATATTTATGAGGTACAAGGTAATACTTCAATACAGTAAATATTGCGGAATGAACAAATCAGGTTAATAATCCTATCCATCACCTGACATACTTATTACTTTGTTGTGAGAACATTTAAAATTCACTCTCTTAGCAATTTTGAAATGCACAATACATTATAATTAACTGCAGTTATTTTGCTGTGCAATATATCACCAGAATTTCTTTCTCCTGTCTTACTAAAGCTTTGTCCTGTCAAACACTTCCCGTTTTCCCACACACCCTACCCTTCTCCACCTCTGGTAAACCACCATCCTACTCTTTACTTGTAGGAATTCAAATTTTTAGATTCCACACAGGTGATATCATGAGTCATCTGTGTTTCTGTACCTGGCTTATTCCACTTAGCACAATGTACTGTAAATTAATCCATGTTCTTGTAAATGACAGAATTTCATTCTTTCAAAAGGATGAATAGTATTTCATTGTGTATATAAACTACATTTTTAAAATTCATTATTCAGTTAATGAGCACTTAGGTTGTTTCTAAATATTGACTGTTGTGAATAATGCTGCAGTGTACACGACAATGCAGACCTCCCTTTTGACATACTAATTTCACTTCCTCTGGACATGTATCTAGAAATGGGATTGGGATAATATGGTAATTCTTCTTATAGTTTGTGAGGAATCTTCATACTGTGTTTCAAGATGCTTGTAATTTTCATTCCCAACAGCAGTGTACAGGGGTTTCCTTTTCTCCATATCTTTATCAACAGTTACTGCATTAGTCCATTTTTATGCTGCTGATAAAGACATACCCGAGACTGTGCAATTTACAAAAGAAAGATGTTTATTGGACTTACCGTTCCACATGGCTGGGAAGACCTCACAATCATGGTGGAAGGCAAGGAGGAGTAAGTCACATCTTATGTGGGTGGCAGCAGGCAAAGAGATAGCTTGTGCAGGGAAACTCCCATTTTTGAAACCATCAGATCTCATGAGACCCAGTAACTATCATGAGAAAAGCATGAGAAATACCCATCTTCATGAATCAATCATCTCCCACAGGTCCCTCCCACAACACAAGGGAATTTGGAAGCTAAAAGATAAGATTTTGGTGGGAACACAGAGCCAAACCATATCATTCTACCCCTGGCCCCTCCCAGATCTCATATCTTCACATTTCAAAACCAATAATGCATTCTAAACAGTCCCCGAAAGTCTCAACTCATTTCAGCATTAACTCAAAGTCCACAGTCCAAAGATGTGAGACAAGGCAAGTCCCTTGCGCCTATGAGACTGTAAAATCAAAAGCAAGTTAATTACTTCCTAGATACAATGGGGGTACAGAAATTGGGTAAATTCAGCCATTTTAAATGGAGATATTGGCCAAAACAAAGGGGTTACAGGGCCTATGCAAGTCTGAAATCCAGCAGGCATTCAAATCATAAAGCTCCAAAATGATCTCCTTTGACTCCGTGTCTCACATCTGGGTCACGGTGATGTAAGGGGTGGGTTCCCATGACCTTGGGCAGCTCCACCCCTATGACTGCAGGATATAGCCTCCCTCCCGACTGCTTTCACAGGCTGGTGTTGAGTGTCTGTGCATTTTCCAGGCACAGGGCACAAGCTGTCAGTGGATCTACGGTTCTGATGTCTGGAGGACAGTGACTGTCTTCTCATAGCTCCACTAGATGGTGCCCCAGTGGGGACTCTGTCTGGGGGCTCCAACCCCACATTTCCCTTCTGCACTGCCCTAGCAGAGGTTCTCCATGAAGGCCCTGCCCCTGAAGCAAACTTCTGCCTGTACATTCAGGCGTTTCCATACATCCTCTGAAATCTAGGCAGAAGTTCCCAAACCCCAGTTCTTGACTTCTGTGTACCCACAGGCTCAACACCATGTGGAAGCTGCCAAGGCTTGGGGCTTCCACCCTCTGAAGCAATAGCCCGCACTGCACCTTGACACTTTTAGTCACGTCTGGAGTGACTGGGACACAAGACACCTAGTACCTAGACTGCACAGAGCAGAGGGACCCTGGGCATGGCCCGTGAAACCGTATTTTCTTCCTAAACCTCTGGGCCTGTGATGGAAGGGGCTGCCACAAAGATCCCTGATGTGCCTTGGATACATGTTCTCCATTGTCTTGGTGATTAACATTCAGCTCCTCATTACTTATGCAAACTTCTGCAGTGGGCTTGAGTTTCTTCTCAGAAAATAGAATTTTCTTTTCTATCGCATTGTCAGGCTGCAAATTTTCCAAACTTTTATGCTCTGTTTCCCTTTTAAAACTGATTGCCTTTAACAACACCCAAGTCATCTCTTGAATGCTTTGCTGCTTAGAAATTTCTTCTGTCAGATACCCTAAATTATCTCTCTCAAGTTCAAAGTTTCACAGATCTTGAGGACAGGGGCAAAAGGTCACCAGTCTCTTTGCTAAAACATTGCAAGAGTCACCTTTGCTCCAGTTCCCAAGAAGTTTCTCATCTCCATCTGAGACCACTGCAGCCTGGACCTTGTTGTTTACATTACTATCAGCATTTTTATTAAAGCCATTCATCAAGTCTCTAGGAAGTTCAAAGGTTTTTCACGTTTTCCTGTCTTATTCTGAGCCCTCCAAACTGTTCCCACCTTTGCCTGTTACCCAGTTCCAAAGTCGCTTCCACATTTTCTGTTATCTTTTCAGTAATGCCCCACTCGCTGGTACCAATTTACTGTATTAGTTTGTTTTCATGCTGCTGATACAAAGGCATACCCCAGACTATGCAATTTACAAAAGAAGAGGTTTATTGGACTTACATTTTCACGTGGCTGGGGAGGCCTCACAATCATGGCAGAAGGCAAGGAGGAGCAAGTCGCATCTTAAATGGGTGAGAGCAGGCAAAAAGAGAGCTTGTGCAGAGAC
Organism: Homo sapiens; assembly: GCF_000001405.40. Classification (NCBI taxonomy): domain Eukaryota; kingdom Metazoa; phylum Chordata; class Mammalia; order Primates; family Hominidae; genus Homo; species Homo sapiens. The sequence continues at coordinate 30,601,504 of NC_000009.12, forward strand.
ACTCCCATTTTTAAACAATCAGATCTCATGTTTCCCATTCACTATCACAAGAACAGCATGGGAAAGACCTGCCACCATGATTCAATCATCTTTCACGGCTTCCTCCGGCAACACATGGAAATTATGGGAGCTATAAAATGAGATTTGGGTGGGCACACAGCACCAAACCTTATCACTTTTCTTCCATCTTTTTGTTCATAGCCATACTAACATGTGTGAGGTGATATCTGATCATGGTTTTACTTGCATTTCCCTGATAATTAGTGATATTGAAGATCTTTTCAATACACCTGTTAACCTTTTGTATGTCTTGTTTTAAGAAATAGCTACTCATGTTTTTTGCGTATTTTTTAGTAAGCTTGCTTGTTTTCTTGTTTTTGAGAAGTTTGAGTTCCTTATATTTTATTGATAAGCCCCTTATGTGATGGATGGCTTGAAAATATTCTCTCCCTATCTATGGGTTATCTCTTCACTCTATTATTGTTTCTTTTGTTTTGAAGAAACGTTTTAGTTTGTTGCAATTCCATTTGTCTGTTTGGCTTTTGTTGCCTACGCTTTTGGTGTTATAGGCAGGAAATTGTAGCCAAGAACAATGTTGTATTATTTTTGAAGTCAGGTAGTGCAATGCCTCTAGCTTTGTTCTTTTTGCTCAAGATTGCTTTGATTATTTGGAATCGTTTGTGGTTTCATAAACATTTTAGAATTGGTTTTTCTATTTCTGTGAAGAATGACAATGGAATTTTGATAGCGGTGGCACTGAATTTGTAGATTGCTTTGGGTAGTATTGATAGTTTAACAATATTAGTTTAACAATATTAATTTATTTTCTAGTAGATTTAGTTTCAGGTTTTACATTCAGTCTTTAATCTATTTTTCTTATTTGCGTATAAGGAATGACATAAGCATCCAATTATAGTCTTCTATGTATGGATAGCCAGTTTTCCCTACATCATTTATTGAAGTGATGTTTCTTTCCTATTGTATGTTCTTTGTCCGTGTGTCAAGAATCAGTTGCTCATAGAAGCATGCATAGGTTTATTTCTGGGTTCTGTATCCCATCACACTGCTCAATGTGTCTGTGTTTATGCCAGTACTATGCTGTTTTAATTACTATAATTTTGTAATATAGTTTGAAATTACATAGTGTGATGCCTCTAGCTTGGTTCTTTTTGCTTAAGATTGCTATGATTATTTGGGATCTTTTGTGGTTTCATACATATTTTGTAATTGATTTTTCTATTTTTGTCAAGAATGACATTGGGATTTTGATAGTAGTGACACTGAATCTGTAGGTTGCTTTGGATAGTATTAACATTTTAACAGTATTAATTTTTCCAATATAAGTACATGGGATTTTTTAATTTATTTATGTCATTTTCAATATATTACATCAATGAATTATAGTTTTCAGTGTACAAATCTTTCACATCCTTGATTAAATTTACTTCTAAATCTTTATATATTTTTGATGCTATTATAAATGAAATTGCTTTATTTATCTTTCAGATAGTTTTTCATTACTGTATGGAAACAATAATATTTGTATGTTGATTTTTAATTTATAAATTTATCTAATTTGTTTACCAACTCTCTCAGTTTTTCAGTGGGATCTTTAAGGTTTTCTCTACGTTAAGATCATATTTTCAGCAAGCAAGACAATCTCTCCTCTTCCTTTACCATTTGGATGCCTTTTATTTCTTTTTATTCTAGCTAGGCAATTACACATATGTTTAAAGCACTTATGAATTGACATTGAATCCATCAGTTGTAATCCATTGATTGCTACTTTTCAACTTGTAAACCTAGACATTTATCAATATTCTACTTTCCTCTTAGTCTAGCTCTTACCCAAAATAAAATAGCCTATCAGTGTAAACCGGATTGGATAGTTAAATATTCTCTTTATGAAACAATTTTAAATGCATTTAAAATTTTTAATCTAATAAATTTTATATTTTATCTATGAATAATTTTAAATTGTGTTCTCTCAAAACAATTCCAATATTTTTAGTAGGAAAAATCATGTTTGTTTTTACACTATAATTGGTACTAGTTAAGAGTTGACCAAAGATGATATTAATAGATATGCTTACTTATTACCTTATTTTCACAATGTTAGTGTAAGACTTGGAAATATAGTAAATTTGGCAAGATTATAGTTGAAAAACCCTTTCTCATGAGTGACACAGTTAATTCAGAGTGTTACTCTGAATAAGTTAACATAAAGCCAACAAGTAAATATTATGAAGTAGTGTTTGAAAAAAATCATGATTCATATTTAAAAGTGTATTATGTAAATGAAACATGTAGTCAATATTATTTAATAAATACCTTATTAGTATTTTATATTTAGTTAAATAGAAATAAAGGTATCAAAAACAAATACATTTATGTATAGTTTAAATGATTTTAAAAATATGTTATTTAGATACCATTGTTACTTAAGTACTAATGTAAATGCTGACCAAAAAAATGTCATTCCCCACATTTAAATTAAATACATTGTGACATATTTTTCAAATGTATCACTGATGGTTCAGGTAAGCAGGCAGAAAATATTCTAAGTTTTTTATTATAGGGAAACTTAATACAGGGGATACATTTCATGTGATGAAAGGACTTTAAAGAGAACCCAGACATCAGCAACAGCAGGAAATTCCTGTCATACTTAGTATTGGAAAAACAGCAGAAGTAACTAGAACACAAAAGCAGAGTCATCTTATAAAAACTGGGGCCATGAAATGAGTGTCTGTGACCATCACCTAATATGTCACAGTAAATGGACACAGGTAACAGAGAACTGGAGGTTTTTCTCTTCCACAAATGCCTCCCATTGGCCAGGCTTATCCAGCAATAACAGTGCACTGAAGACTGGGAGCACTTTTTCTGCATGAGAGATTGCAGAGCAGGATGTATAGCAAGCAATCATAATAAATGCCTACTTTAGGAAAAAGAATGATGAGTAACTTCCTGATATGGTTTTGCTGTGTCCCCACCCAAATCTCATCTTGAATTTCCAAGTGTTGGGGGAGGGCCCTGGTGAGAGATAATTGAATCACGTGGGCAGGTCTTTCTCATGCTGTTCTCTTTCTCATGAGAATAATTCTCATGAGATCTGATGGCTTATAAAAGGGGAATATCCCTGCACAAGATCTCTTCTATCTACTGCCATGTGAGATGTGCCTTTCACCTTCCACCATTATTGTGAGGCCTCTCCAGCCATGTGGAACTGTAATTTCATTAAACCTCTTTGTTTTGTAAATTGCCCAGTCTCAGGTATGTCTTTATCATCAGCATGAAAACAGACTAACACACTTTCTGATATCAAAGTTGGGTTTTTGACAAAAATAACAAATAAAGTCTATTTTTAAGTATTTTAAGACCCAAATAATTCACACTCCTCTTTGTAATAATTTCCTACCTGGCTCATTTTGTTAGGAGACAGCATAATGTAGATGTGGGAACCACTTACTGTTCTATCAAAATTTTTTATTAGAAGCTCAGTTTTGAAAGTATCCTTATTTTGAAAATGCAAATTCACTTGTGACCAGTTTCCATCTAATTGAAATATTAATTTTTCTACTATATTCCTCAAGAAGAATGGAAAAGTTCTCCTATTCATTTCTTTATTTTACAAAAACAAACAAAAACTATAGCTTTAGGGGCACAAATGTTTGGTTACATGGGTGAATTTTATAGTAGTGATATCAGAGATTTTAGTGTACCTATCAGCCAAATAGTGTATATTGTACCTATTAGGTAATTTATTATCACTCATTCCCCTCCCTGCTTCTCAGTCTCCAGTGTCTATTATACCACTCTGTACACTTTGGGATACCCATAGCTTAGCTCCCATTTACAATACAGAACATACAATTCGGTTTTCTGTTTTTGAGCTGCTTCACTTAGAATAATGGCCTCCAATTTCTTCCAAGATGCTGCAAAAAACATTATTTTCGTTATTTTCTATGGCTGTGTAGTATTCCATGGTGTGTATATGTGTGTGTGTGTGTGTGTGTGTGTGTATACAGATATAGATATAGATATTTAAGATTTTCGGCCGGGCGCAGTGGCTCATGCCTGTAATCCCAGCACTTTGGGAGGCCGAGGCAGGCGGATCACGAGGTCAGAAGATCGAGACCATCCTGGCTAACACGGTGAAACCCCGTCTCTACTAAAAATACAAAAAATTAGCCGGGCATGGTGGCGGGCGCCTATAGTCCAAGCTACTGGGGAGGCTGAGGCAGGAGAATGGCGTGAACCCGGGAGGCGGAGCTTGCAGTGAGCCGAGATCGCACCACTGCACTCCAGCCTGGGCGACAAAGCGAGACTCCGTCTTAAAAAAAAAAAAAAAGATTTTCTTCATTTACTCAACATTTGATGGGCACTTAGCTTGATTTTATATCTTTGCAATTGTGAGTTGTGCTGTGATAAACATGGGATTTCATATGTCTTTTTGATATAATTACTTCTTTTCCTCTGGGTAGATACCCAGTAGTTGTATTGGTGGATAGAATGGTAGATCTACTTTTTGTTCTTTGAGAAATTTCCATACTGTTTTCCATAGCAGTTTCACTAATTTACATTCTTACAATCTGTGCATAAGTGTTCCCTTTTCACCACATCTGTGACAAACAACATGAACATACATTTCTTAAAATATGATACACAAATGGCCAAAGATGAAAAAATACTCAACATCACGAATCATCAGGGAAATGCAAATTAAAACCATATTGTGACACCCAACTACACCAGCCAGAATGGCCATTACTACAAAGTCAAAAAACAACCCCCTATCTCTTTTTATATACTACAATGCAATACATACATTTTCATTGCATTAAAACAGCATGTTAGTAAGAGTTATATGTTTAGTTCACCAATATATTTGAAAACTTTTAGAAAACAAATTAATCTAGGACAATGAAATAACTGTAGATAGAGAATTGACAGGGAATATGCCTATTGAATATATTGGAATAAGCTAATACATTTATAAATTCTAGGTAACTAAATCCAACAAGACAGAGAAATAGTGAGTCTGTAACTGGAAGACCAAGTGTTAACTGACATTAGATTTTTTTTTCCTTTCTCTTCTTTTATCATCTCTTACATATAAAAGAGTGATATGGGAAATATCTCAAGATAATTTATTTAAATTGAATCTTGGGAGTTAAAAATGAATTTTTCACGCAATATCAGAATGGAGCAACTCAGAGAGAAAACTATTAAAATGTAACTGCAAAACTATTTTCTGGCTCATCACAAATGATTCTGCAGAATGTAAAATAAGGAATACTTGTAAAATACTTATGACATTTAAAAGGAAAATATTAAAATTTAAATATTTAATATTTTTCAATAAAACTATGCAGATCAAGTTTAATTTAGCAATTGCATTTCTGTGACATACTATATTACTTTACAGGCTGTATTTTCAAGTCATAAAACACTTTCAGAATGTTTTTGTTAGATTAGTCTTTATATACCCTGAGGCTCTTTAATGATTTTATTGTTCAGAATCATATTTATATATAATGGAATAACTTCCTAATCATGCAGTCTGAATAGCTGAATCCATGTACAAATGCAGTTTCTCCTTTAGACCATAGCACAGAACACAGCTTTTAAGCCAGTTAGGGCATTATGATGATTATGACATGGAATTCTGTTGGCATTTTCTTCTTCAAAACATCTGATAAATTTTCACATATTTAGTCAATATCTACATCAAGCAGAGAAGTCTATCATAAATCTTGTCACTTTGATAGGGGAGAATAAAATAAGATGATTTTAGCAAATGAGAAATAAGAATATGTAGTATTTACTCTAACATTTTGGGTTCAAAATACTATTTTAAACTAAGGAGCAAATTACATATCAATGAAACTAAATTGTAAATTAATTTTCTGTGACTTCACTGTCTTTTGAAACTTTTTGTAAGGATAGAAATGTTCTCTATTTCTGTGTTGTCCAGTAAAGTATCTACTAGTCAGATATGCCTATTGAGCACTTGAAATGGGTTTACTGAAACTCAGTAACTGAATTTTTTATTGTATTTATTAATGATTAATTAAAATTTAACCTTAAGTAGAACTATGTGGCTACTGACTGTTACATTAAATAGTTCAGTTCTAAGTACTAACATAAAGTCACAAAGATGTACCAGTTAGCAAAAGGGTATTTCCAACTTAATGTAGGACTGGCAAACATGTAGCCATGCTTATTGGCACAGTTATACCAGATATTACCAAAGTGCTATGGCACTCTGTCCCTTAGTTTCCATATGCCTCAGAAATACTTTCTAACATAATGCTCAAGACAGGTACAATTAGTTAATATTAAATGCTACATAAAACAAACTCTTCATTTCTACTAAGATGCCTTCTAAAATGAAATGTGTAGCACAGTAGAAATAAGTTTGTAATATCAATTCTTGGAAATGCCGAAAAACTCCTTAAAATGGCATCTCTCTGACTTACAAAAAAAAGAGAGAGAGAGAATCTGTTTTATGCTGGGGAAAGCAAATAGAAGTGGTGATCAGAGAAAGTAATAACAATTGAGTGTATGGAAAAAATAGAGATTACCCTAAGTTTTAGTACTATATGTAGAGAGTAATGATGTGACAAAATGATAAGCAGATGACTCATAAGGTTTGGCTCTGTTTCCCCACCTAAATCTCATCTCCAATTGTAATCCCCATGGGTTGAAGGAGCAACCTGCAATCCCCATTTGTTGAGGGTGGGAGGTGATTGGATCATGGGGGTGGTTTCCCCCATGCTACTCTTGTGATAGTGAGTGAGCTCTCACAAAATATGATGGTTTTATAAGTGTGTGGCATTTCCCTGCTTACTCTTCTCTCTCCTGCCGCCATGATAAAAACATCCTTGCTTTCCCTTCGCCTTCCTCCGTGATTGTAAGTTTCCTTAGGCTTCCCCAGCCATGTGGAACTGTGAGTCAATTAAACTTCTTTCCTTTATAAATTTCCCAGTCTCGAGTTTTTCTTTATTGCAGTGTGAAAATGGACTATGACAATGACTGTGTAAAGAAATAAAATATTGTCAAGAAAGAAAACTGTCATTAACCGATACAATTTTCAGCATCAATATTTAAAGGTATACATATGCATATGTATATTTATATATAGTGGGGCTTCACAAAACTGTTAAAAGAATGCCTAAGAGGTAAATAAAAATGTTATTGATACCTTAAACTAAAACGTAATATTTCATCTAGAGTTGGGGACAGTCCAAGGTCTGACTAACCAGACTAGGCAGAACTTGAACATCAGTGAATTAAGTAGAAACCACAGAAAAGTCTCAGTGTTGGACAAAATTAGTGTTAAAATAAAAGATATTCTGATAAAAATCCATTAAAAAATCTTGAAAACTACTCAGAAAAGGTAAAGGGGAGGAGGAGGAGGCATAAGCAAACTAACTCTTGGCCAGAAAAAAGTAATATAGTCTTTACTTAACTTTAACAAAAAGATACAGATCAAATGCAATTTAAAATTACCTTTATAATAAAATTACCTTTTATTTATAAAATTACCTTTTATTTATAAAATTACCTTTTATTAAAAAATTACCTTTTATAATAGCACTCCAAAATAAAAATATTTTTGTATAAATAGGTGAAAATATGTGCAGTCTGTGTATGCTGAAAACTACAAAAAATTATACACACTTAAGATGTAAATAAATGGGAAAATAAACAGTGTTCATGGATTGAAATATAAATACTACTAAGATGACAATTCTCTGTTAGTTGACTTATAGATTCAATAGAAACTTAATAAATATTCCAGCAAGTGATTTTGGTAGACATAAATCATCAAATTCTAAATGTTATATGAAAAAGCAAGGAAACTAAAATAATCAGACAATTATGAAAATGAAAAGCAATGTTGGAGAGTTGATACTATCCAATTTCAACACTACCAATAAAGCTACAGTAATCAAGGAAATATGGTTTTGAAAAAATGAGAGACAGCTAGATTAACAGAACAAAATAGACAACATGTAAATAAACACAACTAAACTTGTCAATTAATTTTTCATAAAGTGGCAAAGGTAATGCACTAGAGAAATGATTGCCTTTTCCACAAATGGTGCCAGAACAATTTGATTTCTATATGCCAAAATAGTAAATCATAAAACATACCTCACATTTTACATAAAAATATTCTCAAAATGAACCATAGACCAAATGTAAAACTAAAAATTTTAAAACGTCTTGAAGAACACCTAAAAAAGACAATGTGTGTGACTTTCAGTTTTATAAAGGCCACTTGGGGATTATGAAAATTAAAAACCTCTGCTGACTCATGGCTGGTTTTGCTTTGGCAAAATCAAGTCAGATTACAAGGAAATTCATGTATTCAACCACTTTGAAAATTCCTTATAGATTGTTATCTTTTCTTTAATTTTTTTTCCTGACAGCTAACACAGAACTTGGTACATAATGAGTCAATAGTAAATTTTTGAATAGTGAGTGGAGGACTGGATAAAAGAAGGGAAGAAGGAGGAAATAAAGGAAAAAGAGAAAGAATAAAGCAGAGGGAAAAAAAGAAGAAAAGTGAAGAAAAAATTAGGATCTTTGAGAAAAAATAATCCAGTCAGAACATTTTAAAAGTATATATTAACACCGCATGTTCTCACTCATAAGTGGGAGTTGAACAATGACAACACATGGACACAGGGAGGGGAACATCACACACTAGGGCCTGTTGGGGGCTGGGGGGCTAGGGGAGGGATAGCATTAGGAGAAATACCTAATGTAGGTCATGGGTTGATGGGTGCAGCAAACCACCAGGGCACGTATATACCTATGTAACAAACCTGCATGTTCTCCATATGTAACCCAGAACTTAAAGTATAATTAAAAAAAAAATCAAAATGATATATTTAGTTTATCAAAAAACAAATTTTTCTGGTCTAGAGGATGATAAGAATTTATTCTAGAAAATAATGTTGCTTTTGAAATGTTAATTTGAATTACATTATAAGAAATATTAAATAGTCATTTCCATATGCTAGTTTACATTCTAGTAGAGCATATAATGCAATGCCGAAACCCTGAAATAGCTGGTAACCAGTTTTATATAGATATGTAGTTCTTCAGCTTTTTTAGATACTTATATTATAATTTGACTTTTGTTAGTACTGCATTTAAAAATAATACCAAGGGACAAAAATATAATCAACTATATCATTTTATATGACAAAATTATTTATATCTGCATAACTGTAATTTTTGGAATACCAAATGTGCACCCCCCTCACAAATAAATTCAGTGAATTTTCACTTCTGTAAGCATTCCCAGTAAATAATAGTGGCATGGTGAAATTAACTTTTATACAGATTTAGATTGCTGATGGAATTTGAAGCTGCCTATTTTGAAGCAGTTATTTTGTTCCACTTACAAAGGTAGGAAAGGAAACAACAGTTACTTTCTAATATTTATAAAATGCAGACAAAAACACTACATTTTAGTGAGTATCCCTGTCCAAGAGCAAGAGGAGCAGTACTAATTTATGCTATATTTTTTGAATATACTCATCAAATAATGTCAGACCAGTACCTTTCTGTGGTTCTTCGTGTCCTCCTCTGTTAAAATAATTTTGACAAGTTAGAAAATCTTCTATAAAGTCTATAATTCAGCACTAGAAATTCTCATTTTAAATCTATACTTTTTTTAGTTTTCAAGAAAAAAGTCTCTATTTTGTTTTTAATCATTACATATGATCACGCGGATAGCATATACTTTTATTTTTTCAATTTTCCAGGTACAGAAAACATTTAAAAATTCAGATTATTTAAGTAGATAATAAATTTAGTGAATTAACATCTTATTTACTAATTAATTTTCTCTTTAAACGTGTTTTTCTCATTAAAATTAATAATATAAATGAGAGTCAAAAATAATAAGCTAACCAAATCTACAATTTAAAATGCATTTTCCTATACTCAGCCTGCAATATAATTTTATAGGGAAGAAATTATTTGTCATGTTGATATTGTTAACTATAATGTGAATTTTCAGATTTCTGTAAATTGCCTTATACTTCTTCCACCATATTTTAAGAGTAACATTTCTGGAACAATTAATCTGTTGCAGTTTTCCCACTTTCTGAAAGTAACAGTTTAGATGATTAACATTTAAATTTCAAATTCTGAAGTACTGAAAGTTTTATATAATAAAATCTTAGATCTATGAATTATATAAAATAAACTATTATATTAATGTGAGAGCTACATTTGTTAATCAGAAATGACTGAAAATAATTACCTTTAGCTACTTACATTCTTGTCATAATCAATTTATCTAATTTCTCTTTAATATTTAAAAAGGAGTGATAAACTTCTCACATGGTATTTACAAAAAAGATAGAGAAGTGATTTTATGTACCCATGGGAAAAAATGAAAATATTTCATACTCTAGTGAAAAGGGAACATGCATAAGATATATTTTGATATGGACAGTAACTGTTACTGATGAATTAAGCTAATTACATAATTATTATATTATGCTAGTTATGTAAGTTATTATTGTGCTAATTATATAATTAAATTTATTATAATAATTACATAATTGTATGTCTTTGAATTATATAAAAACAGGATTTCTTTTCATGGATTCATTTTTGCTTAAGTACTAGAATATTATTGATCCCTAAAGCATACAAAAAGTCTTTCCATTTATGACTTAAAAAATATATTTGCATTTTATTCATGTATAATGACAGTCTCTGAATATTCATACCCTCTTCTATGTTTCCTAATTATCTTGCAATTAGAGATGTAATTATTTCTGGTTTGATCCGTGAACAGAAATGGTATTTGTCACTTTTAGTACGTTGAATTTAAGACCCTTTAGATTTGCTTCCCTGCTCTGGTGACCTGGAACCACTTGTACCATGTGATGTATCTGTAGCTTGTATTTTTACTGACTGATGAAGCAGATTTCCAATTTTGGTTACTGCCAATTTATGTAAGAAATGAGCAAAAACTTTAATATTTGGAGAGTAAAATTATTGATATTTTTGTGTATATAATTGTTGCAGCACAATCTAACCTAACCTAAATAATATGAGCCAATATCAAAAACCTATTTACTTCTCTCCCTCAATACACACACACTTTCTCCTCTAGTTTTCTAGATTCCTGATCATCTTATTCAGTATTCATATGGATCTAAAAATAAAGAATCCAATGTCTATGTTATAAGCTCTTCTGCTGACTATTTTTTCCCAAAATTGTTTTATCTTTCCTAAATGCTAAATTGTTGGGATGTGGAATTGGGGATATAATATTCTTGTGCATTATTCACTCGCTTGTCATTTGAATAAAGGTGATACTTGCATTTCAGTTAATCAAACATTGAATTTAATAATTATTTAGCATTCTATGTAAAGTGATAGAAATTTAGCAGTAAATGGATTAAGAAAAAAATGTATTTAATTGTTTTAACAACGTGGAAGGAAGGAGTTAGATTTAGGAATTTGTCAATATTTTTCATCTCTTTCTCTCAGCACTGCATTCTGTTTGTATTAGCTTGCTTCTCCAAGTGTTAATGGACTTCCTCCATGCAGAAGAGAACTGTGAGGCCCTACTAGCTACAGGCTTCTATAAAATGGATACAGATCCATACATAAAGTGAAGAGATAACCTACAGAACAGGAAAAAATATCTGCCAACTATTTAAATGACAAGTGATTAACAGCAAGAATATACAAGGAATGCAACTCAATAGCAAAAAATAGTTTGATTTAAAATGGGCAAATGATTTGATTAGACATTTCTCAAAATAAGACATACAAATAACCAATAGGTATAATATAATTTGCTCAATATCATTAATAACCAGGAAAATGAACATCAAAACCACAATGAGATGTCATCTCACCCAAGTTATAAAGACTGTTGTAAAAAAGACAAAAAATAAGAAATATATTAATACATTATTATAAACTAGTATATTTGTTAAATATAAAAAATAATTAAGGACTGTCATTCACAATATTATGGGTGAAAATGAAGGACATTATATTGGGTGAAATAAGCCAGGAACACAAAGACAAACGTCACTTGTCTCACATATGTCAAAGCTAAAATAATTCATCTCATGGAGGTAGTGAATATAATGGTAGTTTCTAGAGGCCGGAAAGGGTAATGGGTAGGGGGAACAAAACGGTTGTTTAATGGGTACACAAATACAGTTAGATAGAAGGAGTAAGATTTAGTATTCAATAGCAAAATAGAGTGACTATAGTTAATAATTTACTGTATATTTCAAACTAACTCAAAGACTAGATTTGGAATGTTCCCAACATAGTGAAATGATAAATAGTTGAGATGATAGATATCCCAATTACCCAGATTTGATCATTGCACATTATATGCTTGTGTAGTTATATCACATGTACCCCATAACTATGTACAACTATGATGTAGCTACACAAATTATAATTTTAAAAATTAGGAAAACATAAGTGGTTTTCTTATTGGAAGTGCCAAAAGACATACATGAAATGTGACTTATTTTACCAGAAAAATCACACAAAAACTGCAGGTATTAACTGCAGGTGTATAGGTGTTAAAGGAGTTATGCCTAATTTTAATAAAAGGTCTGTTCCTGTTAAAAGCTAACCGACTGTTCTGAGACATTCTAATGCATTAAGTTTAAATTGAGCTGACAAAAGAGAAGTGGGAGACATCTTTGTATTCTAAATTGTCTGTGGGGGAAAAGTAGTAGATACTGATTTTTAACGTGATTTGTAGTTTGGTTTTCTTTTAAGGGGATCTTGAAAAGCCTTAATAATCAGAAGAGTTTTGCATTTTATTTTTTAGTGTTTATATTTTGTTTTAGCTATATGTTCATGTTCAATTAATGTTCCTATGCATCTTCACTTTTTGCAAGTTTGTTTATAGATATGGTTGAACAAATTGAATAGTATACTTGGATTAGTAAATAAAATCATGGTAATATGTTGGTGTAAATTTGGGTTTTCCCAAACTAATATACCATGTTGAATATATTTGGAAATTTCTGGAGGAATTTTCAAGGTCTAAGCAAACAATCTAGATTTTTCTGATGCATCTATCTCACTAAAATTGGAAATAGTTGTTACAACCACAAATATAGTGTATCCAAAATTCAAGTATTTCATTGTTTTCCTATATAAAACTTTTGTAAATGAGTCCAGTAATTATCAAAACTAAAGTTGTTTCATTTCAAACTTTTTAATGATGATAGAGTATAATGAAAATGTTAGGGATTCTATGGAAAAATACTCAGTCTTAATGTGAATATAATAAAATCAAGAATATTTGATTGATACACAAGCATGTTATATAGAAAGGGAGCAAAGTAAAGCCAGTCTGTTATTAGGAAGGCATTATCAATTATTACCATAAATACATGCTACTATTTTTATAAGAGCAGCTTACCAGGAGAGGTTATGCTGCCATTAATATATTTAGTATCTTCAAAATATTTTATTGTTAGTTTTCCACATATTTATTTGTAAAACTGGTTGTATATGAAACATGTCTTACATACCTGTGTGGCTCCTTCTACAGCTTGAGTTTCACCTATCTTTTAGGAATTGACAGTCCTAATTTTAATGTTCTCTAATTGATTTTTTTCTTATGGATACTGTTTTTGCATCTTCTTTAAAAAACTGTTGTCTACATCAAAGATATAAAGGTGTCTACCTTTGTCAAACAGGCTTATGATTTTATATAGCATTTTACAATGTAAATTTTATGTGGAAAATAGTTAAATATATTATTCTATCTTAATATCCAATTGACCCTGAACCAATTATTAGAAAGAGAGTTTTTTTCCCCCTAAGGCACTACAGTGTCACTTTGATTAGAAAACTATTTAGACAATATACTTGCATGCAAGTTTCTAAACTATTATCTTCATGTAAAATTATTTTAAATGTATAATATCTTAATTTCTAATAGTGTAGATCTTTTAGATCATTTTCTTCTCTTTAAATTTACTTTGACTATTTTGGACAATTTGTTTTTCCATATAAATTTTATAATTATCTGATATGGTTTGGCTCTGTGTCCCCACCCAAATCCCATCTTGAATTGTAATAATCCCCACGTGCCAAGGGCAGGACTAGGTGAAGATTATTGAATCATGGGGGCAGTTTTCCCCATGCTGTTCTCATTATAGTGAGTGGTTTCTTACGAGATCTGATGATTTCAAAAGTGGTTTCCCAGACTGGTGCAGTGGCTTACGCCTGTAATCCCAGCACTTTGGGAGGCCAAGGTGGGCGGATCACCTGAGGTCGGGAGTTTGAGACCAGCCTGACCAACATGGAGAAGCCCCATCTCTACTAAAAATTCAAAGTTAGCCTGGTGTGGTGGTGCATGCCTGTAATCCCCGTTACTCAGGAGGCTGATGGAGAAGAATCGCTTGAACTCAGGAGGCAGAGGTTGTGGTGAGCTGAGATCGCACCATTGCACTCCAGCCTGGGCAACAAGTGCAAAACTCCGTCACACACACGCGCGTATGCGCACACACACACA